>NC_000022.11:34315624-34467139 GCF_000001405.40 Homo sapiens
ACTTCCTAGAGACTTGTTGAATGTTTGTGACCAAAATGCTGATAGTGATATGGACAGTGAAGTCTGTTTTAGCAAAGAGACTGGCAACATTTTGTCCCTGCCCTAGAGATTTGTGGAATTTTGAAGTTGAGAGAGATGATTTAGGGTACCTGGCAGAAGAAACTTCTAAGCAGCAAAGCATTCAAGATGTGGCCTGGCTGCTTCTAAAAGCCTACACTCACTTGCATAAACAAAGAAATGACTGAAAATTAGAATTTATATTTAAAAGGGAAGCAGAACATAAAAGTTTGGAAAATTCGCAGCCTGCCCATTCGGCAGAAAAGAAAAACCTATTTTCTGGGGAGAAATTCAAGGCTGCAAAAATCTGCATAACTAAAGAAGAGCTGAATGTTAATAGCTAAGACAATGGGGAATATGCCTCCAGGGCATTTCCAAGACCTTCGTGGCAGCCCCTCCCATCACAGGCCTGGAGGCTTAGGAGGGAAAAAATGGTTTCATGGGCCAGGACCAGGGACCTACTGCTCTTTGCAGCCTTGGGACATGGTGCCCTGTGTCCCAGCCACTTTAGTTCCAGCTGTGGCTAAAAGGGGCCAATGTACAGCTCAGGCCATTGTTTCAGGGGGTGCAAGCCCCAAGCTTTGGTGGCTCCTGTGTGGTGTTGGCCCTGTGGGTGTGCAGAAGTCTATAGAGTTGAGGCTTGGAAGCCTCTGCCTAGATTTCAAAGAATGTATGAAAATACCTTGATGCCCAGCAGAAGTGTGTTGCAGGGACAGAGCCCTCATGGAGAACCTCTACTAGGGCAGTGCAGAGGAGAAATACGGGGTTGGAGCCCTCACACAGAGTACCCACTGGGGCACTGTTTAGTAGAGCTGTGAGAAGAGGGCCACCATTCTCCAGACCCCAGAATTGTATATCCACCAACAGCTTGCACCATGCACCTGGAAAAGCCATAGGCACTCAATGCCTGCCTGTGAAAGCAGCTATGGGGGCTGTACCCTGCAGAGCCACAGGGGTGGAGGTGCCCAATGCCTTGGGAGCCCATCCCATTCATCAGTGTGGCCTGGATGTGAGAAACGGAGTCAAGGGAAATTATTTTGGAGCTTTAACATTTAATGACTGCCCTGTGGGTTTCAGACTTGCATGGGGCCTGTAGGCTGTTTATTTGGCCAAGTTCTCCCTTTTGGAATGGGGGCATTTACCCATTGCCTGTACCCCCATTGATTCTTGGAAGTAACTAGCTTGTTTTTGATTGTTGAGGCTCGTAGGTGGAAGGGACTTGCCTTGTCTCAGATGAAACTTTGGACTTGGACTTTTGAGTTACTTTTGAGTTAATGCTGGAATAAGGCATGATTGTGTTTTGAAATGTGAGAAGGACATGAGATTTGGGAAGGGCCAGGGATGGAATAATATGGTTTGTCTCTGTGTCCCCACCCAAATCTCATGTTGAATTGTAATCCCCAGTGTTAGTGGAGGGACCTGGTGAGAGGTGATTGAATCATGGGGGCAGATTTCCCCCTTGCTGTTCACATGCTAGTGAGTGAGTTCTCACGAAATATGGTTGTTTAAAATTGTGTAGCAACTTTCCCTTCTTTCTCTTCCTTCTGCTCCCACCATGCAAGATGTGCTATTTGCCTCACAGCTCCACTAAGCAGTGCCCCAGTGGGGACTCTATGTGAGGTCTCCAACCTCACATTTCCCCTTTGCCTTCTGCCGTGATTGTAAGTCTCCTGAGGCCTCCCCAGTCATACCTTCTATATAGCCTGCACAACTGTGAGTCAATTAAACCTCTTTTCTTCACAAATTACCCTGTTTCAGGTAGTTCTTCATAGCAGTGTGGGAACAGACTAATACAACTTGAATCATATTTCTATTGGAAAAGGCAATCTTTTGGACACTTTGTTTCTTTAATTATTGGGAGCTAACTAACTTTGCAACATGCCTCAGTGTTTATGTTTAGGAATCTATGCTCCACACTGCATTTTCTCCTATTTAAATAATGAACACTGGATAGAGACCTGCTCAGCTCTAGAAGTAGAAATGAAGTCATCTCCTTTGGACAACAGGCAGGTGACAGGAGTTGTCAAGGAGTTGCACACTTTCCTTCCTATCAGAGAGTAAAGGATGGCCCACTAAGCAAACACAAGTTCTGGCTCCCCGCTTTCTGTTTCAGACCCAGAAGACCCTGTGCAAGGGCTTTCTCATCACTCTTGATACAGATGTTCTTGTCCCTCTGTTAACTGGAAGCTGGAGGTAATTACCAGCAGAAGTGCATCTCCGTGAGGCATATTAGGCTGGTGGACACTTTCCTTAACCACAAATTGTGCCTCTAATTAGGCAGTTGCTGATACAAGGAGTTCAGAATCTAGTTTATGGACTTGCTTAGGCCAGAAGCATCTTCCAGTTGTAAGTGGCCTGAAATGGTGTGGGAGGAGGAGGGAAAGGGATGGGAATGGGAAAAGGTTGAGAGTGCAGATTAAGCGGCAGAAGAGAGGAGATGAGGAGAAATGGAAGGAAGGAAGGAAGGAAGGAAGGAAGAAAGGAGCATTCTATTTTCTTTCTATATCAGACTTCATTTTGATAGGCTGGAACATCAATTCTTGGTGTAATAACTGAAAAAACAATTTGACAGTATTTGCTAAAGCTAAATCCCTGTCTAATCTATAACCCAGGAAATCTACTCCAAGGTTTATATCTAAGAGAAATAAATATATATGCCCACCAAGGTTTATATACAAAAATAGTTCATGGCAGAACTATTCATACTAGACCCATCTGGATACAGCCCTAATGACCATCAACCAGGGAATAAAGAGATCCATTGTAGTGTTTCCTACAATGAGGCACCACATAGCAGGTTTTAAAAGAAAACAGCAAAACCACTACTGATGATGGCCACCACAAGGTATGTTGAGCCAAAGGAGACAGATACAGAAAAGGTACATTCTGTACAATTTCTTTTTTATCAAGTTCAAGAACAGGAAGGATGAATCTATGGAGCCAGAAATGAGAATAATGGTTACTTCTTGTGAGGCGAATATTAACTAAGAAGTTAATATCCTAGGAGGACAATGGAAGCTTCT
This sequence comes from Homo sapiens, assembly GCF_000001405.40. Lineage (NCBI taxonomy): Eukaryota > Metazoa > Chordata > Mammalia > Primates > Hominidae > Homo > Homo sapiens. The sequence goes on from NC_000022.11 coordinate 34,318,705, forward strand.
GGGATGCTTCAGATGTTCTGTACCTTGATCCAAGTGTGACTACATGAATGTAAAATCTATGTAAAACGTAAAAAAGTACTTTTACAAAAATGTAAAAGCTGAACATTTGCATACTTTTCCATATGTAAGCGAGACTCCATCTCAAAAAGTTAAAACTCAAAACAACATTATGAAAAGGAAAAATACATATTTACTAAAATAATAGATAAAAAATGCTATCTTACAGTGCAACCTTTCATTTCTTTGACTAGGGAAGAAAATCTTTCACACATTCATCTGTCTTAAGCATTTATTTGTTGAATCGCCTGTGCATATTCCACCCCGGACTCCAGTTGGAATCTTTGTTCATATCTTGCTAATTCGGAGAGCTTGTTAAATGTTTCTGAATCCTTCTCTAGTTGCTTGTTGCAAATCTTTCCCTCCAGTTTGTCTTTCATTATCTTACTTAATGATGATTTTTATGTAGAGAGGGTTTAAAGTTTTAGGTGATCAAATCTATCATTTTTTTTTTGTCTTAGCTAGTTCTTTCATTGGGTATTTTTGTTTTCTTTCCAACCTTCTTGAGAAACTGATGGAAGGCAATGTAGCTGGAGCAGCAGAGTTGTAGAGAGGAAACAGTGAAACAGGGAGTGGAGAGGCAGAGAGGAATGAGGCAGCACAGGTGTTGCATTTTGCGATTAATCAGTGGGTGCACTGAATGGTCAGGAAGGGAGGTAAATGGGAATAATACAGAGTTGTGTGTTATGAGGGGCACATGGGCTGCTGGGTGGAGAAAGGATGGGAGGGTTGCAAAACCAGAAAATCCATGGAGAGGACTGCAGTGGTCCAGGAGACAGTGGCCAGGGCTGGGTAGGTGGGGGAGGTTAGAGATGGGCCTTAGCACTCGGTCCCAGGTGGGCCAGGTGAGCGTGGCCAGGAGTAGTGAGGTGTCAGCAGAGATGGAGAAGTGGGAAAGGTTAGAGATAGGCTTCAGCACTGAGTCTCAGGTGGTTCAGGGGAGAGTAACTGGGGCTTGGGAGGTGGTAGCAGAGATGGAGAAGTGCGGAGTGCTAGAGATAGGCTTCACCACCGGGTCCCAGATGGGCAAATGGAGAGCATTTTGAGCTGGTGAGGTGGAAGCAGAGATGGAGGTGGGGTAGGTTGGAGATGACTTTCAGCGCTGGGTCCCACTGGACTTGGCAATGGATGGGCCTCGGGAGGGGCACAGGCAAGGCCTGATGGAGACATCCTGGCTGACCCAAGACAGTTGGGTCCTTATCCATATGGCTGCTCCTAGATTTCTGGGTTTGTATATTTGCTTGTTTTTAGTTTTAACTCTTTATCAGCCCAGAATTAGCTTTTAGTAATTCAGTTGAGACTGCAATTTTACTCCCTTCACCCAGTACTGAATTTCTCCATTAAAATATACTTAATAACTATTGCTTCCTCATTGTTTTGTGAGGCTTCCCATGTTGTTCAGTTATGAACCATTGCTGAAGCCCATCTCTAACCTTCCCCTCTCTAACCCTCACCTCTTTATCTCCGCAGCCACCTCTCCAGCCCAGTCTTATTTCACCCCAACTCCCCTCTACTGACCTTTCTTCTTTTGCTCTGTCACACAATTTTGATGTCCTACGTTTTGATCCATAAAACTTTTGTAGGAAAATTATCTCCTAATCCCTCTTTTTAAAAAGTTCTCAGCTGTTTTCTCATGACTTTGTTTTGTTTATATAATTATTGCTTTTTCCCTCAGGTGAACTTTAAAATCCAATAATGAAGTTCCAGACAAATTCCATTAAGAATTTAATTGAGATTTCATTAAACTCATAAATTCTAGAAGAATTAATGTACAATTTTTCTCATTCATAAATATTTTTGCCTATATATTGAAAATAGTTATTATTTTTCAGCAAATTTTTGGGTAGATCCCATAAATTCTACTTATTTTTCAAAGAGTTTTTTTTTTCAGAATTTTATGTGTTGGTTACCATTCTAAAATGGCTTGTCATTTTAGCATAGATTATTATTGATATATATAAAACATAGATTTTAAAAGTACTTCTATGAAGTTAAAAGATAAATGGTTTTAAAATGGATTCATTGGAGTTTTATAAGAATATAATTGCATTATACAAAATAACATTTTTTACCTTTTCAATAATCATATCTCTTTTTCAGGTTTCATACTAATTACATTACTCATAATTTTCAGAGCAATGCAATACGTGATAAAGATGACTGTGGGCATCTTATTTGCTTGCTTTTGCCTCTGGTTTTAACAGAAATTCTCTTTAGTTTTTCACTGTTAAGAATAATGTTGACCTAACAGAGAAAGTCTTACTAGGCTAAAAAAATATTCCATTCCTAAATTTTCCCAGAAAACAAACTTTGGGAATATAGAATGTAGTTTGAATTGACAGTTTAATTGACTGTCTTTTCTTCCCCTGCTAAAATTATAATTCCTATATTTTCCTTAAAATATTTATGTAAAATGTTGGCCGGGTACGGTGGCTCACGCCTGTAATCCCAGCGCTTTGGGAGGCCGAGGTGGGCAGATCATGAGATCAGGAGTTTGAGACCAGTCTGACCAACATGGTAAAACCCTGTGTCTACTAAAAATAAAAAACAATTAGCCAGGTGTGGTGGCATGCACCTGTGATCCCAGCTTACTCAGGAGGCTGAGGCAGGAGAATTGCTTGAACCCTGGAGGCAGAGGTTGCAGTGAGTTGAGATCGCGCCACTGCACTCCAGCCTGGGTGACAGAGTGAATCTGTCTGTCTGTCTGTCTCTCTCTCTCGTTGCATTAATAGATCTCTCTATAAGTGATCCTTGCATTTCTTGGATAAGTCCTACTTGGCCATTGTAAATAATTCTTTTGATTTTGCTGCTGAATTCGGTCTGATAATATATAATTAACGATTTTTATATCTCTTTCAAATTTTACTACAGATTTCTATTCCCTCTTTTCACATTTCGGAATCAGGATTATGTTGGATTTACAACATAAAGTATGCATTCATATTATTCTATGCCTAGAACCATTTTGATAGCATGAAGATTTTAATTCTCTTGAAAGTTTGAAAATGAAATCCCAAAGCCGTCTGGCACAGGAGTTTCTGTAAAGTAATTCTTTGATAAATTTTTCAGAGTTTTTCACAATAGCTTCTCTATTCAGGTTTTCTACCTTTTCTTGAGTGAACTTTTTAAAATGTCTATTTCTCCAGACTTTTTCCATTTTCCCGAGATTCTGAAATGTAAGTGCATACAGCTGTTTATAGCTTTTAATATTTTATTTTCTCCTTATCAGGAGGAGAACTTCTTTCCTCATTAAAATTATTTTCCTGATTCAACATGTCCATTTTATTAATCTTCTCAAAGAGCCATTTTGTCTTTCCATATAAAAAGATCAGGAAATAAGTTCTACATACAAAAGACTGCATTTGAATGTAGGTATTTTTAAATGCTAAAACTAGGCTAGGTGCTGTGGCTCATGCCTGTAATCCCAGCACTGGGAGCGGCCGAGGTGGGTGGATCACCTGAGATCAGGAGTTCAAGACCAGTCTGGCCAACATGGTGAAACCCCGTCTCTACTAAAAATACAAAAAATTAGCCAATCTTGGTAGCAGGTGCCTGTAATCCCAGCTACTGGGGAGGCTGAGGCAGGAGAATCGCTTGAACTTGGGAGGCAGAAGTTGCAGTGAGCTGAGATGGTGCCACCTCACTCCAATCTGGGTGACAAGAGCGAAACTCCGTCTCCAAAACAAACAAAAAAACCAATTTGGGAGTCCCAGGGGGGTGGATCACGAGGTCAGGAATTGACGACCAGCCTGGCCAAGATGGTGAAACCCTGTTTTTTCTAAAAATAAAAAAAAAAATTAGCCGGGCATGGTGGCAGGCACTTGTAATCCCAGCTACTCAGGATGCTGAGGCAGAGAATTGCTTGAACCCGGGATGCAGAGGTTGCAGTGAGCCAAGATCACGCCATTGCACTCCAGCCTGGGTGACAGAGTGAGACTCCATCTCAAAAGAAAAAAAAAAATGCTGAAACTTAATTGCACTTCAGCCTGGGCGACAGAGCAAGACTCCATCTCAAAAGGAAAAAAAAAAAATGCTAAAACTTGAATAAACGTTTTGTTCTAATCTTAAGGGAAATAGAATACTGCTAGTAACCTCAACTCATCCTCTCCAAATAGCCTCTTCCTCCTTCACTGAGAAATAAACACATCCTTGAATAGCGTACAAGTCACTGCCATATTTATTTACCACATACGCATTTTTCCATAAACAAGATATTGGTTAGTTTTGCCATTATTGAACTTTTAGTGAGTTGATTCATACTGTATGATTTTTCTGTTTGGCATAGTTTTTGAGGTTCGTTGCAGTCTATGCAGGTAGTGGAGATGATAGTTTTTTCACTACTGAATATTTCCTTGCATAAATATTATATAATTAGTTTATCCATTCTGCCCTGGATGGACGTTTAGCTTATTTCAAAGTTTTTTTCTTTTAAAAAAAATGCTTCCTTGAATACTCTTACACATATTGTTCAGTATCCAGGTGCAAGACTTCCTGAGATACATAGGAAGGAGTAACATTGTGAGATCATAAGGCATTTGGAGTTAAACTTCACTTCGTTATAATCTTTCCTGAAGGGGTTGAGCCATTTTATACTGGCACCGGAAATGTGTAGACATTCCCAATGCCCTATACCCTCACCATGCTTGATGTTACCAGGCGCTTTAATTGTTGCCAAACCAGTAGATGCCACAATCATACGCTAGTGAGTGTTCAATCTTGTTGGCATTTTGAAGATATGTTTATTAATTATTAAAATAGGCCACTAGTGCACATGGTCAAAGTCAGAATTTTTTTATCTCTGTTTTCAATTAATCCAGTTCCAGCGATACACAGCCAGTTAATCATTTGAGTCAGTTTTCATAATTTCCAGAACTTATTTATACAAATGCAAATATATGATTACATATTCTTTCCTTCTTTGTATACACAAAGGGTGGTATATTATGTACACAGTTTTCTACTTTACTTTTTCACTTAACAGTTTAATTTTGAGATCTTTGTAAATCAGTATGTAAATAATTAACTTCCTCATTTCTTTTTAGCAGCTTAGTAAATTCTATTATATGGATTTGCCACATTCTACTTAACCAAATAATGATTGTTGCATTATTTCCAGTCTTCAGTTATTGCAAATAATACTACCATAACTTACCATGTATAGGCTTCATTTCACTGATTTGGAATTGCCAGGTCAAAAGGTCTAGGCATTTGAAGTTTTTCCATATAAAATTTAAAAATAATAAATCTACTTTAAAAAGTCTGATGTTTAGTTTGGCTGAGTGCGGTGGCTCACACTTGTAATCCCAGCACTTTGGTGGGGTCACGAGGTCAAAAGATCGAGACCAGCCTGGCCAACATGGTGAAACCCTGTCTCTACTAAAAAATACAAAAATTAGCTGCACGTGGTGGTGTGTGCCTGTAGTCCCAGCTACTCAGGAGGCTGAGGCAGGAGAATTACTTGAACCTGGGAGGTGGAGGTTGCAGTGAGCGGAGATTGCACCACTGCACTCCAGCCTGGCAACAGGGTGAGACTCCGTCTCAAAACAAACAAACAAAACCAAAAAAAACAGAAACAAAAGTCTGATGTTTTTATTGTGATTATGTTCTAAATGAATAAGTGAAATGTGATAATACAAAATGGTGTCACTCTGGTTCAGAACTCTAAAATGGACTCAAGAAACCATTCTAAGGAAAACTACTTGTATGATTGGCAGCATTGCAAAAAACACAGAAAGTTGCCTTGAACCTTTGAATTGGTTCATACTGCAGTGATACATATTACATTAACCTCTGATTCTCTTGCATATTTAGAAGCAGCGGCACCCCTCTTGTGACAACATTTGGCAGCATGCAGTTGGGCCATCACTGAATCCAAGGTCCAAGGGCCTGGATTGCCTGCTAAATTCTTGGGAGTTATCTGGTCGGGTAAGATGAAGGCCATACCTGAAGCCATCCTTGATAAAGTTCAGGCATATCCCCGGCCCACAATGATGAGGCAGCTACAGACCTTTATGGGCCTCTTGGGATATTGGTGGGCATTTGTGCCTCATTTGGCTCAGATGATAAAACTGTTTTATCAGTTGACAAAAAAAGAAACTACTTAGCATTGGGACAGTGAGGCTGAGATGGCTTTTCTCGCAGCCAAGTGGGTCATACAGCAAGTGCAGGCCTTATAAGTGATTGACCCTGGGTGCCCATTTGAACTCAGTGTGCCCGTGACCACAGATGGTTTTGGCTGGAGCCCATGGCAGTGTGCAGAGCACTTTAGAACACCAGTAGGGTTTTGGTCCCAACTTTGGGAGGGAGCTGGAGCTCCAGTATTCGTTGATAGGGAAGCAATTAGCAGCTTCATTGCCACCATTCAGGGTTGTGAGAGTGTGATGGGATGGGCTATCATCATTGTGTCAGTGACTTACCCAGTAGCAGGATGGATACGTTCATGGGTAACAACCCCCAGACTGAGACAGCACAGACATCCACCTTAGCCTGAGGCACCCCTAAACCCTGAACCATCACCATTTAAAGAGGGATATCCCCCATTCCCGATAGGGTGTAGTATATGGATGGGCCCAGCTGGGGTCCTACTGCTGCCCGGACTGCTGTCACAGTCCAGCCTAGTATGTATACCATATGGTTTGATACTGGGTGTGGACAAAGTAGTCAGTGGGCTGAACTCAAGGCAGTGTGGATAGTGATCGCCAAGGAGGAGACACCTATGGTAATCTGCACCAATAGCTGGGCAGTTTATCAAGACCTGATCTTGTGGTTAACTACCTGGAAGTTACAGAATTAGCTAGTTGGCCACTGGCCCATTTGTCAAGTCAGCAATGAACTATGAGGGTGCCTCTGCACTCCAGCCTGGGTGACAAAGTGAGACCCAGGCTCTAAATAAATAGGTAAATTATGTAGTATGTATATTATAACTCTTCCCAAAATTAGAAAAAGCAATAGTTGAGCAAATTTAAACAAAAATGTGGGTTTTTTTTGTTTTGTTTTTGTTTTTGTTTTTTTTGGAGACCGATCATCCAGGCTGGGCTGGAGTGCAGTGGTGTGATCTTGGCTCACTGCAATCTCTGCCTCCTGGGTTCAAGCGATTCTCCTGCCTCAGCCTCCCGAGTAACTGGGACTACAGGCATGCACCACCACATCTGGCTAATTTTTGTATTTTTAGTAGAGATGGGGTTTTGCCATGTTGGCCAGGCTGGTCTTGAACTCCTGACCTCAGGTGATCCACCCACCTCAGCCTCCGAAAGTGCTAGGATTACAGGCATGAGCCACTGTGCCCGGCCAACAAAAATGTTTTAAGAATCATAATAATATCAGAGAAAGTAGAATTCAAGGCAAAATTCATTTCAAAAAGATCAATTTAAATTCAGAAAACGTTAATCCGAGAGTTAAGTTTTAAAAATCATACATCATAAAAGGTTAAAAATAAGACCAAAATATGAAGAAACTCTTTTAGATGTTAAATGAGAAATTCATAAACTATTTTTATGAATGACTTCAGCATAATTTTCTCAGCCTTTGACAAAATAGGAAGTGAAAAAAAGAACAAAGATTTAATCATTTAAATAGTATAAAATTAATAAAAGTATGTATTCAATTATACCAATATCAAACAGAACATACACCTTTGTTGGCACTAATGTAATGTTTATAGAATTTAATTATATGGTAGAAATTGTAGAGGCCATATTCTCTGGCAACACAGCATTAAAGCTAGAAATTAATCACAATGTGTAATCAAAACAATGTGAGAAAACCACTTGGAAGTTAAACAACATTCTATTTAAATAAGGATTGGTTCACTGAGAAGAAATAAAATATATAATTACGTGCTATTTTGAAAATAGCAAAAATGAGAACAATATTTATCAAAACCATTGGAGAAAGGTTACCTTTTATCTAAAATCAAATCTCTTAAAATCTTTCATTGTCAAATAAAAAAAGTAATTAGATTAAGCATTTAATTTATAAACTTAAATAGCCAAAATCAACATCAAGTAAAAACGAAATGATATTTTTCAATTATGAATAATATTTAAAGTTATTAAACTCTGGAAGTGATTTCTAGACTTTTAATAATGGGAATATGACAAAACTAGATATCCAGAGAGAATTTCTCAGAACAACACATAAAATGCTGGGTAAAATATGGGACTTGAGTTTTTAAATGAATAACTAGAAAGTAATACAAATTTCAAAAGGCCAAAAACAAAATTAAAGAAGCAGAGAGAGAGAGATAAGTGAGCCTTATTATGCCATTTGCCCTTTGATCTTATGTCATCCCCTCATGGACTACAGAGGGAATTTTAAAGGGTTCCATGTGTGTTGGGGATAAGATATAATCAGAAGAAAAAAACCAGAAACATTTGCAGACAGGAGGCCCTTGCATAAAGATGATCCCTTCTAAGGGCAATACTCTAATTGGTGAATTAAAATGACATACACACAGCATATCCACACAACCTCAGAGATGTACAATATGGAGTCTTGTTTCTCTTAGACTTGGTGCATGCTGATCTGGAAAAATAAAAAGCAGAAGACAAAAGTGTTCACCCAGGGAATGCTTAACTTCAAGTTTACACTTACGTGAGTTTTAATTACCTTTAACATTCACTCAGAAATTGGAATGAATCAGTCATCCCCTCCTTATCCACAGTTTTTCCACCCCCCCTGCAGTTTCAGTTACCTGTGGTCAACCATGGTCTGAAAATATTAAATGGAAAATTCCAGAAAGCAATAATTCACATTTTAAATTGTGTGCCATTCTATGTAGCACAATTGCTATAGTTTGTATGTTTGTCCCCTGCAAATCTTACGTTAAAATTTAATCCCCAGTGTGGAAGTGTTAGGAGGCAGGGCCTAGTGGGAGGTGTTTGGCTAATGGAAGTGGATACCTCATCAATAGATTAATGCCCTTCCTCAGGGTGGAGTTCTCAATCCCTTAGTCCCCATAAGCTGGTTGTTTGAAAGGCCCTGGTACCTCCCGTCTTGCTCTTGCTTCCTCTCTCACCATGTGATCTCTGCACACACCAGCTCCATTTTACCTTCTGCCATGACTGGAAGCAGCCTGAGCCCTCAAGAGAGGCAGATGCTGACTCCATGCTTCTTGTACAGCCTGCACAACCATGAGCCAAATAAGTCTCGTGTTTTTTTTTTCTTCTTTTTTTTTTTGTTAGATAAATTTGCCCAGCCTCAGATATCCCTTGATAGCAACACTAAATGAACCAATACAATTATGAAATCTCATGAAGTCTCACTCTGTTCCTGGGACAGTTATCAATTACCATCCTTTTGTCCAGTGCACCCACACTGTATTATGCTGAGTGAGTCACTTAGTAGTTATCTTAGTTACCAGATCGACTGTCAGGTGTCACAGTGCTTGCACTCAAGTAACTCTTATTTCACTTAATCACGGCCCCAAACCCAAGAGTTCAGTGATGTTAGCAATTCGGATATGCCAAAGAAAAGCCATAAAGTGCTCCCATCAAGTGGAAAGGTAAAAGTTTTCTACTTGATAAGGAATGAAAAGAAATTGTATGCCAAGATGCTGAGATCTATAGTAAGAACAAATATTCTATCAGAGAAATTGTAAAAATGGAAAGAGAAATTTGTGTATAGTATATACATATATATTACATATGTACTATAACATATATATGGTGTGTGTATATATGTGTATGTCTACACACCATACATATATGTGTGTATATAACATATGTATGCATACTATATGCACATATATATAACATGTGCATATAGTATGTATACACTGTATACACATCATATGTATATACATGTATGGTATGTGTATATATATCTACACACTTACATATATGTATTACATATACACCCACCATTACATACCATTGTTTTTCTGAACATGTAATATATAGTATATACACACATATATAGTATACCCACATACCATTATGTTTTTCTGAACATGTAATATATGTAGTATACATATGCGTATATTTAGTATATAGTGTGTATATATGTTTATACTATATATACTATATAGTATATATACACTTTATATATAGCATATACATACTCTAGCATATACATACATACATAGTATGTATATGCTATATATAAAGTATAGTATAGTACAATACAAGAAAGATATACTATATAATAGTATATATAGTATATACATACTATGTATATACTACATATACATAGTATACTATATACTATGTATATGTAGTATATACATATATGGTATATATATGCTATATATAGTATATACATACATGGTATATATATGCTATATATGTTTATACATATATAGTATATGCTATATATAGTATATGCTATATATACTATATGCTATATATAGTATATGCTATATATAGGATATGCATATATAGTATATGCTATATATAGGATATATAGTATAGTATAATACGAGAAATATATATACTATATACATAGTATATATAGTATAACACAAGAAAATGTCTGTTTCAATGAACCAAGTGGATTTTAAATGAAAATGTCCATTTCAATGAACCAAGTGGATTTTAAAAAGAACCAAAATGAGCTTTTAGAAAAAAGTATACATAATAACCAAAAGTAGAAACCTTTAGATAAGAGAAGATTAACCCATCTAAATAGAAGACTAGTAAATTGAAAGATAGAACTGAAGAAACAATGCAAAATTATGTAAAATGTAGCACAAAGTGACACATAGAAACCTGGAAGTCATGGGAATAGAGGATGAATTGAGGAATCTAATATGTGTCTAATCAGAGTTCAACAGAACACTGATAAAGATAAGGGGGAAGACACAATATTGGAATGGCTGAAAATTTTAATAAATATAATTTTCTAATGCTTAGATTCAGAAAGCCCAATGAAACATGAACAGGATAAGTAAAATGAAACTTACACCTGAATTTATCTATTTCAAATTGTGCAATAAGGGACAAGGAAAAGATTTTAAAAGCTGATAGAAAAACTAAATTACACAGAGAACAACCAGAGCAGCAGCTGCCCCCTCTCAGTAAAAATGGAAGCCTGAAGAAAGACTGTAGGATAACATTTTCAGATTTCTGACAGAAGATTACAACTAAGGATGCATAGGCAGTAAAAATATCACTTAAGTGCTGTGGCAAAATTAAGACATTTTTACTGAAAAACATAATTTTTTTTACCCATAGACTATTATTAAAATTTTTAAAGGCTGAATTGAAAGGATTAATTTCAGGAAGAAGTAAAATAACCCGCAACATATGTATAAATCTAAACAAACACTGGTTAAACAAAAGTAATGTTTAAATTGTAGACTTTAAAATATGGTTGCACTAAAACCTTGGCTGGTAATCAAATAAACATTAGAAGAATACAGGGTTATAATGTATTGTTCAGGAGGAGGATAGCGATACTGATTAACCTTCGACATTGCTGTAAATAAATATGTTAAAACTTCTATGGTAACCACTAAAAGAAAAGATAGTATACAATTTCTGAATTCTTAGAAGAAAAAAGTAGAGTACATGTAAAAGCATAATTAATCTACAGGATGGCTAGAAAAGCTAGGAAAAGATATATAGAAAAGGTATGATAGAAATGAATTAAAATGTAGTTAGTATACCACATATAAGAATTGACCAACTCTCAACAATAAAGGACAGAATTGTTAGACTGAGTTTAAAACACAAAAACCCTTTCCTGGAGTCTTTTGGTAAGAGCAGAACATATAACCTTGGGCATTAAACTTTACCATATGAGTAGGGCATTTTGACCTTGGAATTTTTAGAGGCTGGTAATGTGCCAGCGTCTAACTTCTAATAGGACCAGGCCTTTAAGCCCTACGGTACATGGTATTTGATGTTGGCTGGTGAATTCAGCTTATGTCAGCTTTATCCACAGGCAAATTTATTTCTATAGACGCAACACCACTTACACTGGCCCATTGCTTCTTGGCCTTTTGGCTAAGATCAAGTGTACACTGGCCCAAACACAAAGGCAGAGGGGCCACACACCTCATAAAGGATAACGCCTTAGTGGCTTCAGTAAACTTCTGTGCAGTCCCTCTGGCTATCAAAGGTTTTGTAACTTCAGCGTGTGCAAGGTCTACCACAGTTGGACTCCATGTGCCTAGACCAGCAGCATCAGCCAGCAGGGCCTGGAAACCTGTTAGAAATGCAAATCCTTGAACACCGCGCTTGATCTACTGACTGAGGAGTCTCCCAAAGTAGGGCCAACCGTCTGGGTTTTAACAAACCCTGCTGGGGATTCCAATGCATTCTGAAGCCTGACAGCCACTGGTGTGCATCAAAAAGGAAAGTTTAGGAAAGCATAGATGGCTAGCACTATTGTGGGTCCAGCATGTAGCACACTACAGCTCATTCCACAGCAAAGCTTTTCCTAAGTATCTGAGGTGGTGGCAAATAGTTCGCAAGAAAGAAAAGGGCTTTTTTGTTGTTGCTGTTTTGAGACGGAGTTTCACGCTTCTTGCCCAGGCTGGAGTGCAACGGTGTGATCACGGCTCACTGCAACTTCTGCCTCCGAAGTTGAAGCGAATCTCCTGCCTCAGCCTCCCAAGTAGCTGGGATTTACAGGCACCCGCCACCATGCCCAGCTAATTTTTTGTATTTTTAGTAGAGACGGGGGTTCACCATGTTGGCCAGGCTGGTCTTGAACTCCTGACCTCAGATGATCCACCTGCTTTGGCCTCCTGAAGTGCTGGGATTACAGGCGTGAGCCACCGTGCCTGGCCAGAAAAAAGCATTTTTATCTAACTTTAGAGTCATTTGGGAATAAAACAATATTTACTGTTTAAACTGCGAGACAGCTGAGTTCCATGTGTGCCTGAGTCTTGTGTAATCTTTAGATTCAAATGAGTGGTATCTGCTCCCCATTTCCTCCTCTGCTCAGTCTCTGGTAACCACCATTCTACCTTTTGATTCTATGAATTTGACAATTTTAGATGCCTCATATAAGTGGAACCATGCAATATTTGTCATTCTGTGACTGGCTTATTTCAGTCAGCGTAATGTCCCTTAGGTTCATTCATGTTGTTGCATATTGCAGATTTTTTTTTTTTTTTTTTTGAGACAGTTTTGCTGTGTTGCCCAGGCTGGAGTTCAGTGGCGCCATCTCGGCTCACTGCAACCTCTGCCTCCCGGGTTCAAACCATTCTCCTGCCTCAGGGTCCTGAGTAGCTGGGACTATAGGTATGCAGTATGCACCACCATGCCTGGCTAATTTTTGTAGTTTTACTACAGATGGGGGGATGGGGTTTCACCAGGCATGGTGACTCATGCCTGTAATCCCAGCACTTTGGGAGGCTGTGGTGGGCAGATACTTGAGGTCAGGGATTTGAAACCAGCTTGGACAACATGGTGAATTTGTTTCATTTTCTAAAAACTTAACTAGTATTCTGTTGCATGTATAGACCACATTTTCTTTGCTCAACGCTGTCAAAATTTGAGTAAAGCAAAATGAGTACATTCTAGAGATCCCCTATACAACATTGCACCTACAGTTAACAACACTTTATTGTAAACCTAAACATTTGTGAAGAGGGTAGATCTCATGTTACATGTTCTTACCACAATAAAATAATTTTTTTAAGTGTTAAGGATATATGTGTGAAACTTAGTTTTCTTTTTAAATGACATATCCGAGCTAGGTATGCAATGCTGGGTAGTTAACCCAGATTTCATTTTAAATTCCTACCCTGGAAGTGAATTGACATAATATCATCAACATAATGGAATAGGTGGACCCCCTTTGGACATGTCCAGGTGGCTAAATCTGTGGCAACGAGAAGATGACATATGGTGGGGCTATGCACATAGCCCTGTGGCATCACTATGAAAGTCCATTGTTATCCTTCCCATGTGAAGGCAAACTGTTCCTGGCTCTCTGGAGCAATGTCAATAGAAAAGAATGCGTTGGCCAAGTCCACAGAGTGGTACTGTCCCAATTCCATTGTCAAGCGGTCCATCAAATCCATGATAGATGGTACAGCTGCATTTTAAGGGGGTGTTACTTTATTTAGTTCTTGATAATCCACTATCATCCACCGAGGTCCATCAGACTTTTTGACTGGCCATACCAGAGAATCGTAGGGTGCCACACACTATCTTCACCTCCTTTGACTTCTTAATAGTCTCAGTTATCTCTGTATGTCCACTTGCCAAGCAGTGTTGATGAGTGGAAGTAACCCGTCAGGGTTATGGCAGGACCTGGGGCCGGTGATGCGTATGTCTGTGCAGCACCAGCTTAACCACACGTACTCAGAGTCTGAATTCTCCCACCATGATTTGTAAAGTCAAGCCATGTAAAACATCCACCCCCAGAATGTACTCAAGTATGGGAGAGAAATACAGGGAGTTGTATAAGCAGGGAGTCAAGCAGCCAACGCCAAGGGAGAAAGATGCAGATTTCACTTTCACTGACCAGCCTCCATAGCCATCTATATATGCAGCCTTGCCCAGAAACTTATCTAGGTTTCCATTGATGAGATCACAATCTGCACCGGTGTCTACCAGCACCAGCACCAGCACCAGCACCAGCACCTGATGTACGTTGGTGGGGAACCAGTGGATTGCCAATTCCACATGTGGCCTCCAGTTGTCCGGTGTTCCCCCCAAGCCAGGCACCTCGGCCAGTCCCCTAATCAAATACAATAGGCTCTATACCTCTGCCTCATCTGCAGGTAGTCCTTGAGCTGGAGTGTCTGGGCAGAACTGGGTTGAGTAGCATTGTCCTGCCCCCTCTTGGGTACTTTCTGGAATTGCTGCTCTGGGGAGTGTTGCCTCCACAAAGTTAACAGCACTTCATTGGGGTGCCTATCAATTTTCTCTCAGGCAACCCCAGCGTCTGTGTGTGAGTCACCTATTTGAGGCCCCTTTTTTCCCTTGAGGTGGCCCCCTGCAGAAGGGGTGCCTTCCTTTTTTTATGGTATGGACTCCTCCATCCTGCCTTTGGCCCACTACTTCCCTGAGGGCCACCATGGCAGTAGTCACCTCATGTATGAGATGCCCCACATAGGGAGTGAAGACAGTGGCCAGGGAGACTAAGGCACTCGGGGGCACAGAGCCCAACACAAGGTCCCTCATGTGGGAGGTAAAGCATTCATTATCTGGCCCTCAGGTATTCAGATCAAATATAGCCTGCCGCATACCCATCTCCTGAATGACTTGCACCAAATCTGTAAATGACTGCCATTTACTCACAGTTTCTGGTATTTCTTCAGCATCGCTCTATACCATTCATATGGCTGCCATCAGCCATTCAATTAAGGTGTGGTCGCCTTGCCCCTGTGCTAACTGCCTGCTCACCTGCAATCACTGATGGAAGGAAGGATGGGTCATAATGGAGGACAACTTTTCCATTTAGAGGCAGAGCATACTATAGTGTCAGCTCCCTCATCCCAAAGGTGAAACTTCCAGGTGGGTAGGGGTTCCCCTGCATGCTGTCGACACTGGTTACCTAATTCTCACAACTCATTTGGGGTATAGGCACTGTATGACGTGTGCTCTGTCATGGTAGGGGGTCCCTGAGCCCGCTCTTGGGGTCCCAACTGCTGTTCATGCTCTACTTTGTGATGGACCACTGGGTGAGCCTGTGAGGGCGGTTCTTCCTCCTCAGTAGCAGACCGAGTTGGGTCTCTGACCGGATGGTGGGCCCAGGCCTGCACTAATGGCAGCCCCCAATTCTCATTCCAGGCTGTGTATCTGGGCCTTCAGGTGCTCTGTTTGCACCTGAAGTTCCCTTATCTGCACTGCATCCCACAGGGACTGAGCATGCACTTCCCATAGCACAGTCAAAAATGCCCATCCAGCTTTGCCAGCAAAGACAGGCTCCTTCCTAGTGCTCTGTGCTTCCAGGTGCTTCAGTGCCTTCTCTAGGCTCATGGGGGAGCTGTCTACCACTGCCCATGTTTCCACTGGGGCCCATCTGAGCAGCACGGCTGCCACTGGGTACCACAACCCATGTTGCGGCCACATGGCTGACCCAGGATCATCAGGGGCTGAGGGCTCTCTCAACTCAGGATCCTGCTGACTATGCCAATTTTCAGGTTTCAACCTAAGTTGGGGTCCAAAGGGAGCTGGTGGATGGGTGGTGGGTAGCTGAAAGAACACTTGAGGGACCATAGGCACTTGGGACATGGCTTTATTCTCCCCCATCTCCCCTACAGAGTCAGAAGTGCAGTTATATTTTTCACAGACAACAGTAGCTGAAAGCCAGATATGAGCTCACACAAACGAGTTATATTAAAGGGCTGCAGTGTGATTACATAGTGCTCAAAGCCGGATATGAGCTCACACAAATGAGTTAAAGGGCTGCGATGTGATTACATAGTGCATGGGATTGTGCGCCTGCACTCCAAACCTACTGTATCATGCTGCACTGGATGTCTGCCTAGGCCTACTCCTGAGTGGAGCGCAGCCATTTTCCTTACATGCTCTCTATTGCATTTTCACATTATTCATTGTATTTTTCAGCTCCCTGATATCTCTTTGATTCTTAAAAATTATTTCAATCTCTGTTAAATTTCTCATTCTGGTCACTTACTGTTTTTCTCATTTTGTTGAATTGTTTCATTGCATTTTCTTGATGTTCACTGAGTTTTCTTTAAAGACTTATTTTGAATTCTTTGACATGTCAAATATCCCCCTTTCTTTAGGATCTGTCACTGGCACTTTATTTTGTCTGTTTGGTGATGCTATGTTTTCCTAATTATTCTTGATTTTTGTTACCATGTGCCAAGATCTACACATTTGAATAAGTAGGTACTTATTTTGCTCTTTGGAAACTGGCTTAGTTTTGGAATTCCTTTCAATAGTAAGCCCGTCTAGAGATTCTGGTTATGCCATCTGTCATGGTCTCTAAGCCTGGGACCACTGTGAACACTAAAGCACTGGGGGACACCCTAAGCCTGGGACCACTGCAGCTGGTGTGGTGCTGAGCTGTAATCTTATGGTTGTTGAGGCTGGTGTGGAGCTGCAGTATGCCTGAAGCCCACAGCTGCTGATGCTTACCTGCTCCTGAGGTTTGTTTGGAGTCCAAAGATGGAATTGAAGATAGATTCTGCCTCTCAGATGCTATGGGTTCCTGCGTGGCATGGGGGCAGGTCTGGAGGCTCAGTCCATGGGTACCACCCTGAAATTAGGGACTTTAGGGGTCTGCCTAATTCTGGATTTTACTGTGGCGGACCCAGTGTTAGGGTCCAAGGTAATGTCCTATGCTCAGTTCCTTTTCTTTCCTCCAATTGGTCAGAGTCTCTCTCTGTACTGTGCTACCTGATTTTGAAGAAGGGATGACAAAGGTAATGTAAAACTGTCTATTCTACCTTCTTGAAGGTGTCTTTTCTTATGATTGTGCTATAACCAGGTACTATGATCTCTCACCTAGTTTCCTTAGCTCTTGTAAAAGTATTTCTGCACGTGGACATTTCTTCAAGTTGAAGTTTATGTGGGTGGCCAATCACTGGATGGTTCTATTTTGCCATCTTGTTCTATCTTTGCCTATTTTGGTTCACTTTCTTGATGATCTCTTTAGCACAAAAATTTTCCATTCTGATGAAGTTCCATGTATTTTCTTCTTTTCTCGCTTATGTTTTTGGTGTGAGATGTAAGAAACCATTGCCTAACTAAAGGTCATAAAAATGTATGGCTATGTTTTTTCTAAGAGTTGTATATTTTTAGCTCTTTCACTTAAGGTCTTTGATTCATTTGGAATTAATTTTTATTTTGATGTGAGGTAAGGGTCCAACTTCATACTGAAACAAAAAAAATTTTTGTTAATTCACTTTTGTCATCTCTTGTATGTAGCAGTGATTTCGAATTATTTAACCCATATCCGAGATTTTATTCTGTATTTAGCATGTTCATATTTATTGCATCAATTTATATGGTTGATTTATGCTTTCTGTTAATGTCACCTTAATATTTTGTTTGCATTGTCTCCATTGCTATTTTGATGATCTTTCCTCTTTCATCATTATAATTTGGATTATATTCACAACTTTGTTTTTCAAAGATGATATTTATATTCATATTCTATATATGTCCAAATAGAAAAGTCAACAGGAAATTGTATGTTTTAATTCTATGTAGTAAGAGTGATGAGCATTATATTGTATATCCTATTTCACTCCTTCACATAGATTATTGTTATTAAGTAATTAATATGGTTTGGCTTTGTTTCTCCACCCAAATCTCATCTTGATTTGTAATCCCTATAATCCCGCATGTCTAGGGAGAGACCTGGTAGGAGGTGATTTGGATCATGGGGGGTGGTTCCCCATGCTCTTCTTATGATAGTTCTCATGAGATCTGATGGTTTTAGAAGGGGCTCTTTCCCCTTCACTTCTCACACTTCTCTCTCCTGTCACCTTGTGAAGAAGAATGTGTTTGCTTTTCCTTTCACCATGATTGTAGGTTTTGTGAGGCCTCCTCAGCCATGTGGAGCTGTGAGTCAGTTAAACCTCTTTTCATTATAAATTACCCAGTCTTGGGTAGTATCTTTATAGCAGTGTGAAAATGGACTAATACAATATGACATTTAAATTATACATTATGAATTATTTCTCTCTGTAATCAGTATTGTAAAAGGTCTGTCATTAAAAAAAAAAAAAAAAACAAAAAAAAACTTTTGTCTTGAAAACGATCCCTATTGAGTTTTTGGTTGTTAACACTGCTCTTTTTCATTGACCTTTGCCACTAAATTAATTATTTCATTCCTCCTTGTTTATTCAGTTTTACTATCTTGGTATTTTTCTAGCTCCTGCATTTGACAGTTAATTCCACTAGTTTTTAAATTCTCTTATTGTATAATGACTGTATTTAAAGTTGTAATGTACCCTGTAAGTATTGCATAGTGGTGAAGAACCACAGTATTGAACTGTAGAGCTTTCACTGTCAATCAGCTCTAAATATTTTATAATGTTCCCCATGATTTTATGTTAACATATGGATTACTTGGAATTTATTTTCTAGATATAGGAAATTAATACATTATATTTTATTATTAATTTATAATACATTAAGCTAAGGGGAATATAGTGAATAAAATGTGATTTTTGGTATGACTTAGGGTATGTGGGCTAATATGTGGTTGATTTGCAAATGTTCCATGATGCTCAGAGACAATTGCTAATGTCTTTGTGTTGAGTGTACACATATATTAATTCAAGCTTAGCAATAGTGTTATTCAAAATTTCTTCTAAATGTTATTTTCTGTGACTGCTTTATATGAATTAAGATATCCAAATAAAAAGTTCGATTTACCTATTTCTGTCTATGCTTCTGTGAATTGTTGCTTTTAAATACTTTGAATCTTTGGCGAATATATATTATGATGATTATATATTTTACAATGTGTTCTTTTCCCTGTGTTTTTATTTGCCTTGAATATTAGCATTGCTACCTTAGTTTTTTCATTGTTCATGTTTATCATCTCTAGTTTCAACTTTTAAATGTTTCCTATTAAGGCAGATATATTTAATTTTAAATCATTTTCCTGCTTATATCTCTATATCTTGTCATTAATAATAATTAGGAAGCCCCTATTATTTCAATTTCATGCATCCCATTCTGTCCTTTCTCTTATATTTTCAGCTTACCCTCTCTGGAGCTCTATCTAATTCATTGATTTTTCTTAAGATCTTATTACTTTCTCTTTCTGCAAAACCGAGCCACTTGCAACCTTCTCCCTTTCAATTTATGGCAATTCCTATCCTTCCAGTTACCCAGGCTAGAAGCTTTGGAGTTATTCTTAATTCCTCTGTTCCTCTGATAATCACCATCCAATTCATTAGGAAATAGTACTGGCTCTACCTTTAGAATAGATCCAGAATCTCACCACTTTTCAGTGCTTCCACTGATATCACCTATCCCCTATCCCCAGTTAATGAAGAGCTTTCTGATAGATCCCTCCTATGATGGTATGTTCATCATAGCAACCAGTGTCTTTTAAAATATAAGGTTAGATCGTGTCATCCTTCTGTACAAGTCCCTGCAAAAGCTCCCATTTTACTCAAAGAAAAAATCTGAGTTCTTGCTGTGGTCTGTAAGACCATGGATGATCTGACAGTATCTTCTACTCTCTCTCCCTTCCTGACTTTGCCATAGCTATACTGGCCTTTTTGCTGTTGTTCCAGTATGTTTCCACTAGCATATTTTCAAATTAAGATTTTTGCATTGACTGTTTCCTCTGCCTGGAGTGCTTTTTCTCCAGATATTGTCATGGCTAACTCTTATTTCCTTCATGTTTTTGCTCAAATCTCATCCCCTCAAATGAGGCCTATTCTGATTACCTTATCTACCATTTTGACCGGCCCATTCCCCTCGTCATTTCCAGATCCATCTTCCCAAATACCCAGTCCTTATACACTTGCTCTGCTCTTCTTTTTCTTTTTTCATTAGTTAATTTAGCATTTTTAAAATGAAGAGTATTTTCTAGCCCTGTTTACTAGAAATATTTTGAGAGAGCTATTGAAAAGTTAATTGGGTAAGACCTGAATTATTTTAGTGTGTAATTTAAGATGTTTATTTTAGAAAGCTCATGTGCATCTATATTGTCAGCATGGCATGGTGACATATAGTAACGCCATTTTGACTCATACTAGCTGGTGATGTCAGAAGAGTGCTGTCTAGTTCTCAATACCTTTCTATGTGTCAAACTCCAACTGCATTTTTCTAAGAAGCAAAATACTAATAAGAAAGCTGCCTCAGGAGCTGATACAAGGTTCTGAACTGAATTATGTCCTAACGGCTTAGTTGTTGTTATTTTTAAAAATAAAGTTGTAATATTAGAATATTTTTAGATTTAGAAAAGTATTCTGAGAATAGTATGAAGAATTCCCATACACCCCATACCTGGTTTCCCTTATCGTTAACCTCTTACATTGTATGCTACATTTATCGCAGGTAATGACCTAATGCTGTAATATGATTATTATCTAAGGTCCATGCTTGACTCAGATTTCCTTTGTGTTTACCAAATGTCTTTTTTCTGTTCCAAGATTTCACCTAAATATCACATTACATTTAGTGGTCATGTCTCTTTGGCCTCCTTTTGGCTGTGACAGTTTCTCATACTTTTCTTGTTTTGATAATCTTCAAAGAAATTTTGAGATGTACTGATCAGGTATTTTGAGTAGTGTTTCTTAATTGAGATTTGTCTGATGTATTTCTCATAATTAGACCGGGGTTATGAGGGTGTTTTTTTTTTTGTTTTGTTTTGTTTTTGTTTTTTGATGGAGTCTCGCTCTGTCGCCCAGACTGGAGTGCAGTGGCACTATCTTGGCTCACTGCAAGCTCTGCCTCCCGGGTTCACGCCATTCTCCTGCCTCATCCTCCCAAGTAGCTGGGAATACAGGCGCCCACCACCAAGCCCGGCTAATTTTTTGTATTTTAGTAGAGATGGGGTTTCACCATGTTATCCATGATGGTCTCTATCTCCTGACCTCGTGATCTGCCCGCCTCGGCCTCCCAAAGTGCTGAGATTACAGGCGTGAGCCACCGTGCCTGGCCAGGTTATGAGTTTTGACAGGAAGAGCACAGAGGTAAAGTGCCATTTTCATTATATCGTGTTAAGCGTGCATACCATCATGTTTGACACTGTATCAGATAAGAGAGGGGTAAACAGCTCTCTTGTGTGAGGATTTATTTAAATCTGGATAGGAGAAGGGCTTTTAAATAAACTGTTTTGCTACAGGTGCCAAAGGCTTCAGATGCCTCTAATGGTTTTGTTTTTGACTTTCCTCTTGACTTTGGGCTTCCCTAAATGCTCCTCCTCAGAGAGAGTCTGTTGTTGTAGTTTTAGGGGTGAGGAGTGGTGTTCTATAATTTTCCAATTACATCTCAGTTCTTCAGTGGGCCTGTGTCTATGGCTTCTGCCCTACCCACGTGTTTTTCTTCTTGTATAGCTTCCCCGCTTAGGGGAGACATGAAGCAGAGAGGGGGCTGAAGTGACAGGAATGCCCTTCCCCTTGGGACTCTGAGACAAAGCTCTAGTGAGGTCTTTTCCTCTGGAGAAAGTCTTTCTTATGAAGAAGGTTGGGAGGTATTTCAGAAGGATTACTCTTTCCTTCCCCTGCCAGTGCCAGCAGGCAATCTTTCTTGGATATTTACCATGAGAAGAGATTCCTGGAGGCAAAATCCATGATGATGTCAGGTCCCTCTTAGCCTGGGGTCTCCCTAAGACTGGGGGACCCAGGAGTTTCTCATTCTGGGGCTAGTCCACACTCAGCCTCCAGCAGTTCATCAAAGTGACCATTTAAGTGTCCTACCACTTCCTGGCTTCAGTAGCTTCTGCTCCAGGGAAGTAGATCTTGGTTGTGACTCTCTGGATTTTGTCAGTCTCTTCAGGGTGATGGTTTGCCTTATAAATTCAGTTTTCTAGTGGATCTGAGAAAAGTGATTTATTTGTCTAGCATTTTTATTGTAAGGACAGGAGTGGCAGCTTCCAGGATCTTTACATTTTGGAGCCAAACCTGAAAGTTTATTTAATTTTTTTAAATGCCAAAGATTTACTGACATGTTCACTGTTATTTATTTGCCTCCCATCTCCTCCCCCTGTACCACACATTCTAGAATGTAAATTCCACAAGAGCAGAGATCTTTGCCTGGTTCACTTATATGTCTCTACTGTCTAGAATAATGCATGCTGCATATCAGGAATCCAATAGATATTTGTTGTCCTTAAATGAATATCAATGTCTTCCCTCTGAAAAAGGAAAAATCTTACTATTCTCTGACCCTGTTTTGCACCCTAATCTCTCTCATGACGCCCCAGCCGCACACCCCAATGATATTGATTTCATCAATAATTTTACCTCTGTGCTGCTACAGATGTGCTTTTCCTTTTTTTTTTTTTTTAATCTTTTTGGTCACTAATGTAAACAAAATTGACTTTTATTGAGTTACTTACCATTAGTCCCACGTTTGTCTGGCTCCTTTCTTGTCCTATTTTTTCTTCCATGAATATTTTCATAAAGGGCGTTTTAAAGGTAAACGTTGTGAGGTCTTAAACATCCAAGAATATGTTTTATATGAATTTTAAATTATAGCTTAGTGGAATGTAAACTGTAAGTTCAGTGTTTTCACCCTACAACACTTAACAGTGTTTTGTCATCATCTGCTAGCATCTGGTGCGAATGTTAAAAGCCTGATGTAAATAATAGCAGTGAACACTTGCCTATCACTTCCTTTGTGCAAGTATTATTCTAGGAACTCAGTATTCATTTACTCCTCATAAATACCCTTGTAAATGTTAGTATTATAGTTATCATTAGCTATTTTTTAATAAAAAAGGAAACTGAGGACTGAGTTCAGTAATTTGCCTAATGATCTGTTGCTGGTAATTGGTTCAGCTGGATTTGACCCAGACAGGGGCTGGAGACTGACCATGACACCAATTTTAAAGCCCAATTTTTATCTATTTGCACTTGACCTGCTATTTCTCTCTGTATTTTTATTTTTTCCTTGTCTTTTAAGTGCTTCAAGCTCACTACATATGTCTAGTTGAGGGCTTTTTTTTTCTATGCTATTTGAGATTCTATGAACTTGTTCAGTATCTGGTCTTATTATTTATTTACTTTGGGAGCATTCTTGCTTATTGTGATAGTTAATTTATATGTTAACTTGATTGGGCCATGGGGTGCCCAGACATTTGAACAAATGTTATTCTGGGTGCCTATGAGGGTCTTTTAGGCTGAGATTGACATTTCTATCAGAGTGAGTGAGGCAGATTGTGCTCTTCAATGTAGGTGGGCCTCATCCAGCCAGTTGAAGGCCTGAATAGGACAAAAAGACTGATTCTCCCTTGAGTAGGAGGGAATTCCCCCTACCTGATGGCCTTCAAACTAAAACAGATTTTTCCTATTTTCTGCCTCCAGCTCAAACATTGGCTCTTCCTGGGTCTCAATCCTGATAACCTGTGAACTAGAACTATACCATTGGGTCTCCTGGTTCTCCCACTTGTTGACTGCAAATCTTGAAACTTGTGAGCCTCCATAATTGCATGAGCGAATTCCTTATAAGAAATCTGTTGATGATATAGATATAGATCTATAAAAGATACCCCCTAATGTTTGTTTCTCTGGAGAACCTGACTAATACACTCATAATTTCTATTATGAATATTTCTACTCATGTGTTCCCTTTTTAATCTCATTCTGGATTTCTATTATCCCTCTCTTACTAGTCAGTGATTCTATATTAATGCTGCCTAACCATCCACCCCAAAATGCAGTATCATGTAGTAACAGACATGCATGTCTCACTCACATGTCCACATATTGGCTGAGGTTGCTCGGCTTGGGGCTCCAGGTCAGATCAGCTCTGCCCCACATATCTCTGCTTGGGACTCAGATCAGAGAAGGATGGCTTCCCAGTACATACTGCTGCTTTAGTGGTGTTGTGCAGAAGAATAATGCCCTGTCTTCCTCTTTTGAGTACAGAATCTATTGAAAAATTGTACCAGGGGTCAGAAATACTAGCTTTATTTCAAGCACAGCTGGGTTGGGAAATATGGTTCTGACCTAAGCTTTTTCTGGGGTTCCCTTAAAAAAATTGCACACTTCACCACAGAAGAGTCAAAGCTTGTTCCACAGAGTGTGGCACTGATATGGGAGCTGACTAGGAAGAAATGCTCTGCAAACCAGTAGGTCTTAAGAAGAGAGCAAGGCGAGGACTGAGCCCTGCATGCTCCAGCTCAGTGGTTCTCAAGTGTGGCTCCTGGACTAGCAGCATCTTATTAATAATTATTGGCCTCTACCCCAGACCTACTGAATCAGAAACTCAGGGAGTGGTGTCTAGCAAGCTGTCTTTTATTATTTTTTTTTATTATTTAATTTGAGACAGGGTCTCACTCTGTCACCCAGGCTGGAGTGCAGTGGCGCGATCTTGGCTCACTGCAGCTTCCACCTCCCAGGTTCAAGCGATTCTCCTGCCTCAGCCTCCCGAGTAGCTGGGACTACAGGCATGTGCCACCACACCCAGCTAATTTTTTGGTTTTAGTAGAGATGGGGTTTTAGCATGTTTCCCAGGCTGGCCTCGAACTCCTGACCTCAGGTGATCTGCCTGCCTCAGCCTCTCAAAGTGCTGGGGTTACACACGTGAGCCATTGCGCCCAGCTGCAAGCTGTCTTTTCATAAGCCCTCCAGGTAATTCTGATGCGTACCAATGAGAAGCACTACTCTAGTCCAGTGATTCTCAACCCTGGCGCACATCAAAATCATCTGGGGAACATTAAAAAGCATTTTCTGCTGTCCCATGAGAAGATTTTTGAGTCAAGCTTGATATTTATTCCTTGACAGATGTCCAGTTTCTTTGCTCTTTGTAGGGTGGTGAAGCTTATCATTGCTAGTCTCCAATGAAGGAGCTTAGAAGATGCTTCCAACAGGGCTTAGTGTTCTCAGGTCTCCTGGGGACAGTGACAGTGGGTGGGAAAACATCTGGGTTTAGCATCAAATGACCTGGATCCTAGCCCTAGCTTTCCCTTTCATCGTCAATATGACTTTGTGCAATTCACCTAACTTTTTTGCCTTGATTTCCTTTCCAGTGTAATTCCAACCACCTCCTCTTAGGGTATTTGAGAGAATCAAATGAAAGACCATATAAAGAAAGTGCTTTGCCAACTAGAAAGTGTTTAGACCTACAGAAAATCTGTTATTCTCTTTTATTTAATGAATGTGACTAGTCAGCAGCTTCCATTCATGAGCAGAAGACTCAGCCATGGAGGCCTGGTTCCCCAAATCATTAAAGATTCCCCATGGAGTTGTCTGTTTGTTTTCCTAATTTGAAAGTAGCCACTGGATAGCTTTTGCCCACCATGCTACCATTCACCTTTCCCCTTATCACAGAATCCTCATGGGGGCGTTTAATTACTCTACTTACTTTCATCCCTGCTAGCATCTTTAGTTTTGTCTCTGGCTGGTTATTTCTGCTGGCTTGGGTACCCAGCTGTAGGCTCAAGTACTCTCTAAACCATTGTGTGTAGCTGTGCTGTGTAGCCTTAGGCAGAACCTTCTTGCCTTAACTATTGTATGAGTAGATAACAGGGGAGGGACTGAGGGTGTGGGGCTCTCCAGCATCAGCCCAGTGCCTACATGACTGCAGGGACAGTTCAAACCGAGTTTCTGGACAAGGATGAGTCTACAGTGCCTTCTTGTGGCAAAGGGAACTTTTCATGGAGTATGTGAATATTAAGTGACAAGCAAGGCCCACAGTTAATAAGTGTGCAGCCAAGAACTGAGCTCAGGTATTTGGCCCAGATCCCTGTTCTCTACTTCACATCTTTCTCTTGAGGTTAATCTCCAGGTCTAGGATTTGGTGTAGAGACTGGAGTCTACATATGTTCAGTCGGGGTGCCCTTAACAACGGGCAACGCCAGGATAAGCTGCTCTTCTTCCTAGCAGGATGGTTACTGCTTCTTACAGTCACTGTGCAGACAAGCTGTGATATTAAGTTATATACTGACAGATAGTGGATGCTTGATAATCAGCATCTGATCAGGCAGGTCAGATAATCAACATCTTTCACTCAGCAGACATTTATTTTCTCATATTCAGAGGAAAGCAGGGGTTGTAAGGAAAGAGGTCAAGAATGTATAAGAAATTCACATCCAGGTGAATCCAAAGTATTCATTTCCAAATGATTGTTGGAAAATATTTACGGTAAATCTCCTCACCCTATACATACACACATTTACACACACACATACATGTATATGTATATGTGTGAATATATATGTGTATATATACACATATTCACAGTAGTTATGTTGTCTGTGTGTGTGTGTGTGTGTGTGTATATATTTATTTGAGACGGAGCCTTGCTCTGTCACCAGGCTGGAATGCAGTGGTGCAATCTCCACTCACTGCAACCTCCGACTCCCTGGTTCAAGTGATTCTCCTGCCTCAGCCTCCCAAGTAGCTGGGATTACAGGTGCATGCCACCATGCCCAGCTAAGTTTTGTATTTTTAGTACAGATGGGGTTTCACCATGTTGGCCAGGATGGTCTTGATCTCCTGACCTTGTGATCCGTCTGCCTTGGACTCCCAAAGTGCTGGGATTACAGACGTTAGCCACTGCGCCTGCCTGTCTTTGTATATATTTACATATATGTATAGGTATATATAGATAGAAGATCACTATCATAAATATGTTCAACTGTATACGTGTGTGTATATACCTGTATATATAATAATGAGAACACAGTTGGTTCTCATTATTCTCAGTACTTATCTTCTCTCTATATATATACACATATATATACACACACAATATATAGTATATATATACATATACACAATTAGTTCTCATTATTTACAGTCATTATGTTCTATAAAGTCATTCTGAACACTGAATTAGCAACTACCGAACCAATGCTTCTAACAGAAATACAGAGTTAGGTTCCTACAAGTCTGTGGTCACAATATTTTCACTGAGCAGTCAATATATAGCCTTGTGTTTTGTGTGTATTTCTGTTTCGAGACCCCTTGTTTAACACATATTGTTTATTAACATTGAACTCATTGCCAAATAGCATTAAAGCTCATGCCTAAATGAAGATTACCTAATAGCCTATTTTCTCCATAAGGTACATCACAGCCTTCTTGTACTTAGAGACAGGAGACAGCATTTCGGCACTCTTCTCAGGGGTCATTTAAATGATGAAATCAGCAACAAAAGTACAAGAATATGAAAAACGTGGCCATAACTAGACCACCAATGGATGCTGGTTTACAGTATGAGCTGAATCAAGAAGTCAGAGATTTGCCTTGTTCAACCTCAGCTGGGAATGTCCACTTCAGATGGCTCAAATTTTTCACTTCTCTGCACATATCTGCAAGTGACCGTGAAAGTGTTTTGAGTATAGGTTATTTTGGGTTATCCACAAATATTAGCAAGTAGGCAAATGTTGAAGTATGGAATCCGTGAATAGTGAGAATTTACTCAGATGCTCCTCAGTTTACAATGGGGTTAAGCACTGATAAACACATCATTAAGTTGAACATATTCTAAGTTGAAAATGCATTTAATATACCTTACTGAACAGCATACCTTAGATGTGTTTAGAACACTTAAATTAGCCTACAGTTGGGCAAAATCATCTAATACAAAGCCTATTTTATAATAAAGTGTTGAATATCTAATGTAATCTATTGAGTACTATACTAAAAGTGAAAAAAAAGTGTATGAAGACTCAAAGTGCTGTTTCTACTGAATGTGTATCACTGTCATATCACAGTAAGGTCAAAAAATCTCAAGTTGAACCATCCTGAGTCAGGGATTATCTATTTTATTTACATATGTGTATGTGTATGTGTATATATATATATATACACACACTATATATATACACATATATACAAACACATATGTAAATAAAATAGATATTTTATATATACACACATACACTCATGTATATACATATATATGCAAACACATGCATACATATATACATACAAATATATACATACATACATGCATACATACACACACCACCAGAAGGATAGATACTGCAATTGTATCAGGGGATTTTAGTTCCAGTAACTAAGCAAGGCAAAAAGAAGAATTTGGTGCAAAGGTACTGTGGTATCCATTGAACTACAAAATGGCAAGCATTGTAGAGATGTAGCTAAACTGGATGTGGAGGACTTGGGTACCATCAGGATTAGAGTAGTCTTGGTCTTTTTGTTTTTGTTTTTTTGAGACGGAGTCTCCCTCTGTCGCCCAGGCTGGAGTGCAGTGGTGTGATCTCAGCTCACTCCAAGCTCCGCCTCCTGGGTTCACACCATTCTCCTGCCTCAGCCTCCCAAGTAGATGGAACTACAAGCACCTGCCACCATGCCTGGCTAATTTTTTTGTGATTTTTAGTAGAGACGGGGTTTCACCGTGTTAGCCAGGATGGTCTCGATCTCTTGACCTCGTGATCCACCTGCTTCAGCCTCCCAAAGTGCTGGGATTACAGGTGTGAGCCACCGTGCTGGGCCTAGCGTTGGTCTCTTGTCTCTGCTTCAGCCCATCCAATGTGCACTGCATTCTCCACATGGATGGGACGTAGACACCCAGAGGAATAGTGAGATGGGCATCTGCAAGACACAGGGAATCACACTAGGAGATACCAGTTCATATTTGAGGAAACACTAGGTTATAGGAATAAAACTTCTTCTCTAGCAATTCTGAAGTGAACAGGGTGGAGAGGGAAGAGGGGTGTGTGTGTGTGTGTGTGTGTGTGTGTGTGTATTTGCATATGGGCAACTGCATATGAATGTGTACCTGCATCAAAATTAATTCCTAACACTGCCATAATCTAAGCAGTAATTTTACTACTATGTTTTGCATCTTGTTGCTTCCACTTCCAGACTCTCTCTTTTGCTTGTTTCATGCTAGACTAATCAACTGGGAGGGGAGAAAGGATGAAAGATGTGGTATCATGATTGACTAGCTTGAAGTTGATATAATCAGTGAGATACGGTTTGCAAGAAGCTAGAAATACCAATTAGAACACTCTAGTGGGAAGTGAAGGAGAAGCTCCTGGAAAAGAAGGTGCTGTTCCCAGTGTAAGAACTAGTAATTTACATCCATTTTAGGCAGAAAGAAAATGCTTTCAACAGAGCTAGTGTATTTGAGGCAGAGGGGAATGATAAGACTCCTTTACTCATAACTTGCTACAAACTCTGGCACATAAAGGGTAAAGAGACGTCACCTCTAGCTGGGAGGAACAGAGGCAGCAACATGGAGAAGGTAGCATTGAACTTCTCCTTGGTTGATAAGTAGGATATGAGCAGATTTTAATGTGGAGGCAGCCCCTTATCTTGGAGATTAGGATAATATTTTAGAAACAGCAGGATGCAGTGAAATAAGTCAGTTTCCAGGGTTTAAACCCTATATTTGCAGCATGCCAGCTGTGTGCCCTTGAGTAAGTTAGTTCACTAGCCTGAGATTAATTTTCACTCCTTGTGAATTGGAGGGGAATAATGTCTCCCTCATGGTGATGTTGAAAAGGTGAAATGAAATCATGCACTTAGGTATCTGGCAGAAAAATGCTGGTTCCCTTTTGTTTTCAGGGTTCATCCAGTAAGTTAGTGGCAGATAGGTAACTTGAACCAGAATTTCTGACTTCAAGGCCAACAGCCTTCCATTCTGAACTGTCGCTCTCTTTTTTTTTTTATTATTATACTTCAAGTTTTAGGGTACATGTGCAAAACGTGCAGGTTTGTTACATATGTATACATGTGCCATGTTGATGTGCTGCACCCATTAACTCTTCATTTAACCAAACACCACATGTTCTCACTCATAGGTGGGAATTGAACAATGAGAACACATGGACACAGGAAGGGGAACTGAACTATCACTCTCTTAAAATCACCTGCCCCCTGTTGTCCTGATTTTCTCTTACCACACACTGGCTCCCACTGGCCTCCAAGGAGTGTAACTGCCTCGAAGGGCACATTAGGGTCTTCCCGTGCGCCTTTCTTTCCTCACTTTAGACACATTAGTGATGGAGCTGGAGATAATGGAAATGCTGACCTTTGAGGGCTATATAATTAATTATAGGCTGGTGCCATTAACACCTTTACCAATCAGTGCAGAACTGAGTGAGAACTCTTGGCACACAGAGGTCCTGTCTCTCTTGATTAAAGGATCACTTTGAAAATATGATCAGGATTCTAACAATATGCACATATAAAAGAGACCTGTCCACTGACGCTAATTCAGCATTACACTAACAACCAGATAAAAGATGGGCAAGACGTCAAAGCAAACAGATGCCAAACTGTGAAATGAGTGTTTGTGTAAGGAGCATAACCTCATTGGACCTCATTGTCATTCTTATTGCAACAACAAAAAGGCAATGTGAAATAAAAACAAAAACACGGAAATAACGATTCTAGGTAAATTTTACTGAGACTGTGCCAGTGTCAGCTACCTTTCCATCTGTTGTTTCACTTAATCCTCCTAGTAACCTTATGAGGTGGATAATTCTGTTATCTATTATCCCTACTGCATGTGTGAGGGAAGTGAAGTCCAAAGAGGTGTCTAATCTGTAAAAATGGGTCAGTAGAGGATGGTTGTGGTGACAAGGGGCATGTGGAAGGGTCTTAGTTTCTGTTTAGGGGTGATGTGATGGTGCTGGTTTCATGGTTAAGTCCAGAAAGGAAGCCAGGTTCCCTTTCTACTCCCAAGATTAAAAGGAAGACATTTGATAGCAGACATCTAGGGAAGTCTTTTGCATTCCGTCAAGAGATCCTCTCTGTGCTTTCTTCCTTTAGTCAGTGTCTGCCCAGAGGTTAGAAGACGGAAGGAGCTGTCATTGTTGAGGGTTGTTGGGGTAAATACACAATTCCCTTCTCTGCCGGGGCCTGTGTTCTGAACCAGCTGAGAGAGAAAAAAGAATCCAGTGAATGGAGAGCAAGCTACTATGGCTGTTAAAGCTAGATCAGGAAATGTGGGCTGGATGAGTTGCGACCATGGGCTTCCTGATACTGAATGTCAGAATGAGACAGTTATCCACCTCCACACAGTCAAGGGTGGGAATGGGCTCACCAACAGAACAGGGGGCTTTACAGATAAACTTAGCATATGGTTGAGAGCAGGCTAGTCCCATAGAGATAGAACTGGAAGAGGCTGAACCATGCACACCCAGTTTGTCTTCTCAAAGTTACTATCAGAGCATGTACTACCCCTGCACCCAGAGGAAGAGTGAGGTGAGCATCAGCAAGACACAGGGAATCACACTAGGAGATACCAATTCATACTTGAGGAAACACTAGGTTACAGGAATAAAACTTCTTCTCTAGCAGTTCTGAAGTGAGCAGGGTGGAGAGGGGAGGGGTTTGTGTGTGTGTGTGTGTGTGTGTGTGTGTGTGTATCTGCATATAGGCAACTACATGTGAATGTGTACCTACATCAAAATTAATTCCTAATGCTTCCACAATCTAAGCAGTAATTTTACTAGTTTTTTCTTGACAATTTATAGAAATTTGAACTTCATTATAGAAATTATCTCTAAATAACAAAAGCTCTTAAAACTATAAGTGTATGGATCTGTCATTTGGAAGAGCAAAGCCTTTTCAGTGACTAAACATATCCTCTTCTGTTTTTTTTTCTCTTCAAGATTTAGCCTCATTTGACATTCACTTTAGCTAATGTCTAGATAAGCCAGCTAATGTTAACATCTCTGAGTCTGACTTAAAGGCTTTGTGTTTTTGTCAGAGGTTTCTTAGAAAGACTGGTGGGCTCCATAAGAATCAACAGGGCTAGAAAACTCAGTTAAACCGCAAAGGGAATAGACTGAGTGACAGTAATAGGAAAGGAAAAAAAGGAAAATATCCCTTTCTATTCTCTCTACCTTCCAACTCTGCACTCCTGGAAATAAAGGCTGTTTTGTCCCTATTTTTCTTTCTGAATTGAAAGACAATAACCAAATATACCTGATGGTACTTCCAGCGTCTGAAGAAAAGTTCTTAGGAGGGTGGAGTACAGCTGAAAAACTCATTAATTTTAATTAAGTTAAAAAATCCATAGTAATGCAATATTAGCCTTGCAGTAAAGTCATCACTTCTACAAATGGAAAACGAATACTCTTTAAAGAAACATGATATCCCTCTTGACACAGCTTCTAAGAGGCATATATTGACCAGGCAAAGAGGAAAGTAAAATTCTACCTTTTTCAACATGTTCAAGGGTAGACAGATAATAAAACTTGAACCTATTTATCTTGAAGTTGGCTCATATTTCTCCCTATCAGTACACAGGGAGGTGGACAGGTACCAGCTTAGAACTTATATAAAAGTGGGTTTGAATGCTGGCTTCACTCACAACTCTGTTACTCAGAAAACAGTGCCTAGACTCTCTGAACCTCAGTTTCCTCATCATTAAAATAAATGTAATAATAATGGTTTTAATTAGGCAAATTTCTAAAACACAAAAACAGACACTCAAAGGCTAAGTGGTTAGTGAGAAAAAATCTGTATTTGGTCAAATATTTATGGTGGCTTGAATTGGATTTTGTTATTAAAAATATTGTTAAAAAATAAAAAATAAAAATATTGTTGAGAAGAACATTACAATGTTAATGTATTCATTCTTCATTTGACAGATATTGGTTGTGCACCTACTGTTTATCTGGCAGACTGTGTGAGAGGGACACCATTTGTCTTCTAAGAGTAGTTCAAGATTTCTCCTGCCTCATTTGACTGTGAAGGGGAGTTCTCTCTTAAAGACACAGTCTTGAGCTGTGACCTTGGGTTGTGTGTGTGCATGTGTGTTGGCATGTGTGCATGTGCGCATGTGTTTGCATGGGTTGTGTGTGTGTGTTCATGCATAATTTTGGTAGGGAAAAAATCATCTTCTTATTACACCTGGATGCTTTTTCTTTTGGGGATTTCTTCTTGCAAATTTAGGAGTTTTATGGGGCTTGTGGCCTTGTTCTGTCTTGGACTTTTCTCTGTCATCTGGATTTTTCTGTTTTCTTTCTAATGTGTCTGGCTGATAAGTCCGTGGATGCCTCTGCTTGGGAGAAGCCCTCACTCCCAAGGGACCCAGGCAGAAACCAGAGCATGATTCGTAGAAAAGGAAGCTTTGTCCAGGTCATTTAGGCCTGTCCTTTAGTCTAGAATAAAGGAACTGATGGGCTAAACGTGGTAACTAGAATGGAGACCCAAAAGACTACAGTGAGGCCATTTCCTGGGGATTCCTACCCTCTGAGGAACAGAATTCCCAAGTATATCAAAACTGTCTGGCTTCAAAATTGATGAAGGATGGGAAGAGGGCTCATTACAACTTGATGCAGCCACAAAAAGGGATTTATTGCATGTTCTTAAGCCTGGAAATGACAGGATGGAAAGCAAAGAAAGAATTTTGAACTAAAAAAGAACTTAGAAATAAATTAGTCCATTCATTTCTAATCTTTCTTGTTTCTTCTGTCATTTTCTAGAGGAGGAATATGAGGCCCAGGAAGGTGAGTTCATCTTGCAGCTGCTAGCGATTGACAAGTCTAAGAAACCAAGTTCTTGGCTTGTTCCTACATGCACTCTACAGACTGACTTAGGAATATTTCCCATGAAGGCATCCACAGAGACTGTCCTGTGTGTCCCTTAGGCCAGGCCTTCGACTTCAATTGCATTTCTTTTCAAGACAAGGTTGTGAGGGGAAGGATTGATTAGATATTGAGGAGGTGAAAGAAGTTATTAGATTGATTAGATATTGAGGGGTTGAATAGATATTAGAATTAGATATTAAGGGGGTAAATAATATCTATCAAGGTTAACTTCCAAGTTCAGTGGTTGGTGAATGGGAGGAGCCACCATCTGAGGCAGAGTACGGAGATGCAGGTTTGGAGAGAAAGGAAAGTTATGATGAGTTCAGTTTTTTGAGTTAAAATCGCAGTGAACCGCCAAGCTGGGGGTACAACAGGAAGGTGCACACCTGGCTTCAAGAGAGAGGAACAGTTTAGAAGGTTCTTCTTTTTATTTTTAACCTTCCAAAATCCTATTTCCCAAGGTCTTTCCCAAATCTACCTGTTCTGTGAAGTGGTCCCTAATCTCCCATCTCATCCAGCTGTTTCCTGTGTGTGCCCATAACACATTGCTTTCGGCTTCATTAGGCTGTCCCTCCATTTAGTGAGGTCATTGTCTTCATGAATATCCCTTCTAACTAGTCACCTTGGAGTCAGCACCAAGGGGCTGTAGAGTATTGTGGATAAGAGTGCAGCCTCTTGTTCCAAACTGCTGGAGTTCAACCAGAGGCATACGTATACATACATATATATTTATATATAAATGTCATCTATAAATATATAAATATATGTCATGTAAATGTCATATATTTATATATAATGTCATATATAATTATAATATTTATATTTATAATATAAATATAATGTCATATAAATATATGTCATGTAAATATGTCATATATAAAATGTCATATATGTCATATATAAATATATAGTCATAAATTTATATATATAATGTCATATATAAATATATAAATATTTTATAATTTATAATTTTATAGTTTATAATTTATAAAATATATAAAAATATATATAATGTCATATATAAATATATATATATTTTTTACTTTGGGTAATTTAACCGCTCAGTGACTCAGTTTCCCCCTCTGTAAAATTGGAATGATAAAAGTGGTAGTTATCCAATCCAGTGGCTGTGTATTTAAATGAGTTAACATATATAAATGTCTTAGCATATGGAGGAGCGGTCGGGGGCCCTTCCTTTTCCCTTTCCTTATAATAAATCTCATGGTTTCCTGACTCCATTCTGCAGGTCTCAAAGTAGCATCTCTTCATTGAGCAAGTTTCTTAATCCAAAATCATTTTCTATTTTCCTTTGGCTCAGTAAGGACCCTATATCCTGTTTGATGTTTTGTGTTTGAAATTTTTAACAATTGCAGGAAAAAAATCTGTTTGAATAAGATACCAGTTAAAGACAAGGGAGTGAATGGGGTGAAATGTTCCCTTCACCGGCCTAAGAAAAACCTCTGGGGAGCTCTCTGACCGAAGACAGGTCAGCGAAGACTGTGCTGAGTCATGCTAACTTAAGATTCACTTTGGAAAACAGTGGCTAAAAAGTGTCTTTTTCTTTTCATTCATTCATTAGTTCATTCATTCATTCTTTTTTCTTTTAAAATCCTTCCCTGCCAATTCTGGCTGACTGAGATGGGGCTAAGACGGAAAGGGTTTTGAACCATAACTGGCATGTCCGTAGCTGCAAATTCGACAATAATTCACTTGTTAAACTGAGGGAGAGGTGCGAGTTGGCAGCTTAGAATAGATTTCATTTTCACTCTTCATCTGTTGCCAGGAACACTGCTCATCTGTCTCCTGTGCTTTATCTCCTGGTGGGATTCAAAGCAAACGGCAGTCAGCTCAGTCTGCATTGCTTTTGCCAACCCAGAAGCCAACTTTCTCACCCCCTCCTTGGCTGCTGG
The DNA here is from genome assembly GCF_000001405.40 of Homo sapiens. NCBI lineage: Eukaryota > Metazoa > Chordata > Mammalia > Primates > Hominidae > Homo > Homo sapiens. Next base: position 34,354,704 of record NC_000022.11, read on the forward strand.
GAGGTTGTAGCCTCCCCGGGTCTTTGGTCCTAGGTGTGGTTTATCAGGAATCGCTGCCGTGGTTAATAACATGTTGCTGAAAGGTGGACATTTTGCGTCATTTTGGGTATTGAAGAGGTTGAGAGGGAGGGCTGAGACATTTCTGCTGTTTGGAGTCAGAGCTGGATTTGAATGTTGGCCCTGCTACCTTGAACGAGCAACATTCTTGCCTTAATTCTTATTCTCTGTAATGGGGATATTGTAACTGCTGCGCTGAATAGTGTAAGAATGAGAACAGTAGAAGCATTTAAACATCCGGTTTTGGCCTGGCACTGGGGATGCCCTCAATAAGGTCTCTGTGAAAGGCCTTCCAGTTTCTTAACAGCAAACAACATTGCAGAAAGAACGATAGGCTGCTGCTAGTTAAGATAGTACATTGCACAAATCATAAAAAGGCTCAACCTCCAGATGGATACAACCTGTGGAAGACCTCCAGTTTGCAAAGGTGCATGGGCTTGATTTTGGTCCCACTGGTCCCTGAAGCCAGGTGCCCATGTGCAGTAAACAACTTTAACAGTTGTGCACAGTGGCTCCGAAGACTGATGTCTGCATTGAAGCTTGATCATGATTTACTAAACTGACCTCAGGAAAAGGAGAATCGGCTCAGAATCATGTGGCATTGAAGAGTGTTAAGGATATGACCTACAAGCTAGTTTTTCACTTTACCTTCGACTTCTTTTCCTCAGGAACCTTGACTCCCAACAAATGGAAATGTTTGTTACCATGAAGTTGCACCGTGATGACACATTTGCATGAAGTTCTTCAGCTGCAGTGCCTGATTGGCCATTGGCGGCTGGGAGAAGAGCCAGCCTGTCTGTGTCTTTCTCTAGGCCCTGGTGTGTATTTCTTGCAGCATCTTGGCCACTACTTAATCTCTTTCTGCCTCACTTTCTCATCTGTATTATGGAGAGAATATTAGTACATATCTCGTAAGGTTCTTTTAAGGATTTAAATGGTTCGTACACCGAAGGCACTAAGAACAGTGGCAGGTACATAATGAGTGCTCAACTAACGTTGGCTATTATTATTGTCTACCTGCATTCCTGCCTCCTGTGATGTTGTTTCTTTCTGTCCTCCATGAAGCCTTCATAGATGACCCCATCCAGAAGTGCACCCGTCTCCTCTCTCTAACACATGCAGTACTTACCAGGGAGTAACATTTACATGATAATCATTTTTAGTTTGTGTCATATTTTTCTGCCCCCACTTAATAATGAGCTTCTAGAGATATTCTTCTTTCTATTCTTTAATAGCTTTATGCCCTGCTGTAAACCAAACATCTGCCCATTCACTTCTTAGTTCAGAGATCTATTGGTGTTATACAACAGAAACTTGACTTGTACTAGCTGAGGTTAAAAAAATTTCTGAGCCTAGGGAAGAACATGGATGACTAGAACGATGGCCATACATGTCCATAAGATCTTCTCTCTCTTGCCTTGTCTCATTCTTGCTCTCTCATACCTGCTACTCTACGTTAGTGTCACTCTTCCAGGTCTGCTTTATCCATGAGACAGGAGCCATGGTCTCTAATAACTGCAGGCACATATCTTTCTGGATGGAAAAGACTCTCTTATTCCAGGTTTAGGAATAAAATTCTCAGGGAATAATTTTGATGGGCTCATCTTAAGCCAGTTTTTATCTATTAAACAAGCATGGTGGTTACAGATATAATGTAAGCAAAGCACAGTTAACATTAGATCTGTGTGGTATGGAGAATGTTCCAGGTTGGATGACTGGAGAGATGGTGATACCACCAACTTAGGCAGAAACACAGGAGGACTGAGCTAGTATGGGAGGAAGGACATGGAGAGTTCAATTTTGGATATTCTGAGTTAGAACTATAACTAGGACATTCAGGTGGATGAATCTCAGGGCAGTTGAATATATCAGTTCAAACCTCATGGGAGAGCTCAGAACTCGAGATATAAATTTATGAGTCATGAGCAGTTAGGAAATAGTTTAAAAACTTCCAAAGAGGACTTTCACTTCTAAGTAGTATGTAGGAGATCATAGCAGGCTAACAGTCCCATTGTATCAACTAGAAAAAAATTTGATGAATTGAAAAATTACATTTTTAAAGACCTATGAAACCTGTGAAAGCAAAAAGGGAGAAGATGAATTAAAACTCCAGAGATAGAAGAGTATTTTCTAGGTGAGCTGACAGTTGCCAGACATTTATTCCCCAAGAGCCTGCCATTCTGGAGGCAGGCAGAGAGTCAGGCATGGTACACACAGATAGACTCTCCTGGGGGAAGGAGAAGCCAGTAGGGCATGTGGTGGTCATGCAGGGCCAATGGATGCGGAGCTAGGGATTCCTCAAAAAAAAAAAAAAAAAAAAAAAAGGGCTAATTTTCCCCAAGGGTAGTAGTTTTCCACAAGCTGTTAGAAACACTAGACTAATAGAAATACAGGAGTCTATTCTGAAAATTTCTAACAACAAACCTATACTTGTGGGATAAAACTAAAATAGTAGAATAGAGAGAAAGCTTAACTTTTACTGCTTACAGTCCTGACTGGATGAAAATAAAGGAAATAAGTATCCAACTAAAGTAGTTACAAATACGATAAGTGCAAAACCCAAAGAAAGTAGAAGGAAGAAAATAATAGTGCAGAAAGAGATGAAATAGAATGCAAATGTACAATAAAGAAGACAGCGTTGTTCTCTGTAAACGATAATGTAATTGCCAACCTCTGGCAAGATTGCCCTACCTCTTTCCCCGCAAGAAAGGGAGGCAAAAATAAATAATATTGTAAGAAAAAGCCATAACTAAAAATAAAAGAATAATTAAAAGAATATTATAACTTTATACTAATTAACTTTAAAACCTAAGTGGTCACACATTCCCAGAAAACTGTATATTACCAAACCAACTGAACGAGAGATAGAAAAACTGAATAGTAGTTGACCCTCGAACAACGTGGGATTGAGCTGCATGTAACCACTTATATGTGATATTTTTCCCATCTCTCTCACTCCTGAGACAGGAAGACTAGTTATTTCTCTTCCTTCTTCTCCTCAGCCTACTCAATGTGAAGGCAATGAGGATGAAGACCTTTATGATGATCCACTTCCAATTAATGCATAAGAAATATATTTTCTTTATGATTTTTAATAATTTCTCTAGCTTTATTATAAGAATGCAGTATAAAATATACAGAATATGTGTTGACTGTTTATTTCATTGGCAAGGCTTCCAGTGAACAGTAGATTATTGTTAAGTTATTGGGGATTTTAAAGTTCCATGTGGATAACCAACTGTGTGAGGGTCAGTACCCTTAACCCTTGTCTTGTTTAAGGGTCAACTAGTTTTATGGCTATTTTTAAAAATTCTTAAAATCTACCCACAGGTGCTCAAGTGGTCTTGCCTGTGAATTTTACAAAACATAAAGAGACTGAGTATTCAAGCTTTTAAAGAATAAGAAATGGCTGACTTTTGGTGCATGCTAAGACGGAATTAGTTTCCTATAGCCCATCTTCTCCAATAATTACAACTAAAAACTCTGAACCCCACCCCCACCTTAATCAACTAGCTGAGTAATCAGAGGATAATTAAGGCCACTTGGGGAAGGAAGTGAAAATTTGAAGAATGACCAGTACCTGTAATGATAAGAAAATATTTGTAAATCATATATCTGATAAAGGATTTGTATCAAGAATATGTAGAGAAAGAACTTTTAAAACTCAAGTATTAAAAACCCAACCCAATTTGAAAAAAAAAAAAGAAAGATTGAAACAGGCTGGGCATGGTGGCTCACGCCTGTAATCCCAGCACTTTGGGAGGCTGAGGTGGGCGGATCACGAGGTCAGGAGATCGAGACCATCCTGGCTAACACGGTGAAACACCGTCTCTACTAAAAATACAAAAATTAACCAGGCGTGGTGGCGGGCACCTGTAGTCCCAGCTACTTGGGAGGCTGAGGCAGGAGAATGGCGTGAGCCCAGGAGGCGGAGCTTGCAGTGAGCCAAGATCGCGCCACTGCACTCCAGCCTGGGTGACAGATCGAGACTCCGTCTAAAAAAAAAAAAAAAAAAAAAAAGATTGAAACAGATGGCATATGGAAATATACTCAGCATCATTAGTCATGAGCTGAGATTCTATTAAACAACTCTTCATATGGCTGAAATAGAAAAATAATGCAAAATGAGCATCAAAAGAATAAATCTTACTGTATGTAAATTTAAAATAAAATTTATTTTTAAAGTAAATAAGTAAATTCCCAACTCATTTTTAAGCCTTCCATAACCTGGACACCCAAACTATACCATGATGTAATTGTAACAGAAGATTTCAGAGCAGACTTACTCCTGCACATACACACACACACACACACACACACACACACACACACAGACCTACAGATGCACACTCCAAATCTAGCAAAAGATGAAATGATAATATGACCAAGTTGAGTTTCTTCCAGGGATGCCTGGTGGATTCAAAATTAGAAATATTATAGCCACTACATTTCAAGCCAAAGGAAAGTTATTAATAAATGATCACCTCAATAGATGCAAAAATGAATTTTTTGAAATTTCACACATTCATGATAAAATTAAAACTTTTACCAGACTTGAAACTGAAAATATATTCCATCTATACACAAAAGCCCCGCAGCAAACATCATACTCAATCATAAAATATTTAATGAATTCCCTTTACAATCAGAAGAAGACCAGAATGAGAGCTATCACCGGTTACTTTTATCATTTTATTGGAAACTTGTGGTCAGCAAAAATAAGATAAATAAAAGATAAATGCATTGAAAATCAAGCATCAAAGTGTCATTTAAATATGTTTTTCTACATAAAAATTGTCGAAAATTATACATAAAATTATTATAAGGCATAAGACAGTTTAGCAAATTTGCCAGATAAAAGATCAATATATGAGCTAATTTCATGCCTAAACATTAGCAGCAATCTAGTAAAAAACGCGTAACAAATAACATTCACACAAAATTAAAATAATTACACCTAAGTGAAACTGTCCAAGAATTTTATGCTGAAAAGTATAAAACATTCTATGAAGTCATTAAAGAGTATTCATATACTAGGAAAGAGATACTCTACCAAAGGGCAGGAAAACTCAATGCCATAAATGTGTCAATTTTTTCCAAATTTATCTCTAAACGCACCAAAATCCAATAATATCTCAAGTTTTTTTGTAGAATTTGATAAACTGATTCTAATAATTACGAGGGAGAATCAAGGGCCAACTAATGGTAAAGGTACTCCCAAAGACAGAGTATCAGGCAGAGTAACTCATCCTGCCAAATATCAAGGCTCATTATAAAACTAGTAATTAGTAATCTGTTACAAATACTTCAAGAGAACATAATAAAGTGCTAATGAGCAAACCTTTCACCTACCTGGAATCTTGATATAACGGAGCTGATGTTTCAGATAGAAGGAAACAATGGCCTATTGTCCAATAGATTTTAGGAATTGGTGATCCGTATGGAAAAATCTAAAGTGTATAGTGAATGCCTGTGAAACAATACAAAAAGGCAAACCACAATATAGAAAGGGGGCAAAAGACAAAATCAGGCTCTTAGCAGAACATAGAATATGACTGACCAATAAACACATGACAAAAATTTCTTAACATCATTAATAACCAGCAAAAGGCAAAATAAATATTTTAAATGGAAAAAATTTACAATAACAAAGATGTGCAAAGCTGCTGGTGAGGATGTGGAGAAATAGGAACACTTTTATGCTGTTGGTGGGAGTGTAAACTAGTTCAACCGTTGTGGAAGACAGTGTTGATATTCCTCAAGGATCTAGAACCAGAAATACCATTTGACCCGGCAATCCCATTAGTACCTAAAGATTATAAATAATTCTACTATAAAGACACATGCACATGTATGTTTATTACAGCACTATTTACAATAGCAAAGACTTGGAACCAACCCAAATGCCCATCAATGATAGACTGGATAAAGAAAATGTGGCACATACACACCATGAAATAGTATGCAGCCATAACAGAATGAGTTCATGTCCTTGCAGGGACATGGATGAAGCTAGAAACCATCATCCTCAGCAAACTAACACAGGAACAGAAAACCAAAGACTGTATGGTCTCATAAGTGGGAGTTCAGCAATAAGAATACATGGACACAGAAAGGGGAACATCACACACTGGGACCTGTCAGTGGGTGGGGGGAAAGGGGAGGGAGAGCATTAGGACAAATACATAATGCATGAGGGGCTTAAAACCTAGATGACAGGTTGATAGGTGTAGCAAACCACCATGGCCCATGTATACCTACTAACAAACCTGCACATTCAGCACATGTATCCTAGAACTTAAAAAAACAATGGGAATTCTTATTAAAGTTATAGAGGGAGGGAAAATTGGAACTGCTTTGATGAACAACTGGTCACTACTTAGCAGAGTTGAACATGTGTGTGCCCCACTACTCAGCACTCTACAGCTAGGAGGATGCTCTACGTAAATGCATATTTATGAGTACTAAGAGGCATGTAGAGAATGCTCATTTCAGCATTGATTTTAAAATTGCAAAAATAATAGCTCAAATGCCTGCCTACTATAAAATGGATAAATAAATTGTGCTTCACTCATACAACATAAATAAGCAGTGAAAATAACTACAGCTACAAGCACCAACATGGAGAAATCTAAAAACCATAGTGTTGAGGGGGAAAAAAAGTTGCTGAAGAATATGGTCAAGTCGATGTCATTTATTCAACTTTCAAAAACAGGCAAAACTAAATAATACATAGTTTAAGAACCTATGCATTTCTTGTAAAATTATCAAGAAAAGCAACCAAATTGATTTTTAAAAATTCAGGACGTTTGGTCCCTCTAGGAGGAAAACATTAGCAATATTCAACTTTTCAGTCTGGGGAGTGAGTGCATGAAGTTTGTTTTATTTTCATTATACTTGTTTTTTTTCTTAACTGTCTTTTATTCATCAGTTCTTTATTCAACAAGTACTTATTTTCATTTATTTTTATTCTTTAAACTTTACATGTATATTAAGTCACTTCTTTGTACCTATGTCATATTTCTTAATAAGAGTCTTAAGAAGAGTTAATGAAGGGATTGATAATGATGGCTAAGGGGTATGGGATTCTTTCTGGGGTGAGGAAATGTCAAACTGTGTGCCTATTAAAAGCCATTGAATTGTCTAGTTTAAATAGATAATGTTTGTGAATTATATTGTATTACAATATACAAGGATTAAGGTAGTTGAGGAAATTAAAAAATGTAGGTAGTATTTTTGAGAATTTGGGTGAGAAGGAGAGAATAGTGAAATCACTTGAGGGTGGTGAGGAATCAAAGGTTTTTTAAAAAAGAAATTTGGCTACAGGTTTAATGAGCATGCCAGTGGAGAAGAATTCAGGACAAGGAAGTCTTATATAACAGGATATGAACACAGCTCCTTTTATTCAAAATGGACCTACCTCCTATAGCACTTTCTTGAGTTTAAAAGGAAAAGTTATCTCCAAATTGGTGCTCAGCCTCCTGCCAGTCATGGGCTCTATTTACTCTTTGGGACAAATTTTCAAAAGCGTGGTGTCCTAGTAGTGCTGTCATTCTTTCCACCTGGGTGGAAAGAGAAGTAAACGCTAACCAAATTGGAGCCATTGAACAATTCAGTGGGATAAGTATCTCTTGGCTGTCATGGTGGGATGGGCTTTAGGGCAGGGTAAATGGAGAGGTAACTGCTAGACAGTATTGACCTTCTAGTTGACCTTCCTTCTAGTCTATTTGCTCCTATGTGATCTGCCTGGTGACCTAGGAGCCCTCTGACTTCTGAAGTCCCCCCAGAACTCATTCTAATTCTTTGCAGACAATAACATAGAGGCAGTACAAAGCAAGTAGTGAGGCAATGAGTAAAGCATGCCTTTTGTCAAAGTATCCCTGCTCTGCTCTGACACCCACTACCCATCCCTCTAGAGAGCAAAGATTGAATCAATAATAAATTGATTCATCTCTCACAGAAGTGAGCAGATAGCAGAAAAAAACACACTGACATGAGCATTAAGGAAACCCATACTCTAAATTCAGCTCTGACATGACCAGCTTCCTGTTAGTCTTCTGAGTCTTTTTTTTTTTTTTTTTTTGGAGACAGAGTCTTGCTCTGTCGCCCAGGCTGGAGTGCAGTGGCGCAATCTTGGCTCACTGCAAGCTCCGCCTCCTAGGTTCACGCCATTCTCCTGCCTCAGCCTCCCGAGTAACTGGGACTACAGGTGCCTGCCACTATGCCTGGCTAATTTTTTTGTATTTTTAGTAGAGATGGGGTTTCACCGTGTTAGCCAGGATGGTCTTGATCTCCTGACCTCGTGATCCACCCGCCTCAGCCTCCCAAAGTGCTGGGATTACAGGCGTGAGCCACCGCGCCCAGCCCTGAGTCTCTTTTTCCTCATTGGTAAACTGGGGTGTAGTCCATCAGCTCTTCCTTCTACCTCTTTCCCACTGTGTAACAGCCATCTGTGCATAGGGATAGAGTAGGTCCTGATTGGTCCAGGCCGATCATGTTAATTCCATTTTGCTTTTCACAGTGATTGGTTAAGAATATCATAGCTGTAAGCCAATTGGCACATAGCAGTTCCTTGGTTACCTTGGTTTGGAGGTGACCCAATCATCACAAAGTTCACGATGTTTGATTATTGTGAGATGGGACTTGCTTTCCATTGGACTTAAGATTGCTGCACATCATGATTCTGTGGCCATGATGAGGGCCAGCCGTGGAATGCAGCTAACACTGAGGAGTAGAGCTGAGACATGTAAACAAACAACACTCTTGATACCGGGTTACTGGATTAGCCCACACTGAAGCCTGCCTTATTTCAGTCTTTCTTATCACGGGAGCTAACAATCTCCTCTAGTGTTTAATCTAGTTTATGTGGAGTCTTCCATTACTTGCAATTAAAAAAAACCCTTACTACTTCATGGAGTTAATATTTGGCGTATCTTTTTCAGGGGGTACCGCAAGGCTCCGAGGTAATACCAGTAACACACATGAGAGAGCAGAGTAAGTGTAGCTCCTATTTCTTTTCTACAAACACTGGATGTAAGTGAGAGGTAATAACAGAATCAGAAAAGGGCTGACAGCAACAGAAAGACTAGGGTTTACATCACTCATTTAGTCATGGTGCTGTCACTTATTAAACTGACTTTATTAAATCCACCTTGAGCAAAGCAACCTATATCGCTCAGTCAGTGTCCCTCATCTGGAAAAAGCTTACTGAGATCACGTCTAGGGTCACTTAAATCTATGTATATATAAGTTGAAATCAAGATATATGACTTATTAATATACTAATTATAATAACAGTAACAGGCTGGGCACGGTGGTTCACATCTGTAATGCCAGCACTTTGGGAGGCAGAGGCAGGCAGATCACCTGAGGTCAGGAGTTGAAGACCAACCTGGCCAACACGGTGAAACCCCGCCTCTGCTAAAAATACAAAAATGAGCCGGGTGTGGTGGTGGGTGCCTGTAGCCCCAGCTACTTGGGAGGCTCAGGCAGGAGAATCGCTTGAACCCGGGAGGCAGAGGTTGCAGTGAGCCAGGATCGTGCCACTGCACTCCAGCCTGGGTGATCGAGCGAGACTCTGTCTTAAAAAATAAATAAATGAAAATAACTATAACATTTATTAAGCACATGAATTGTTCCATGCATGGAGCTGATGTTTAACACATTATTTCATTTGATGGTTACAATAGTTATTATTGCTCCCATTTCACATATAAGGAAACTAGGGCTAGTGAAATAAAACGTCTGAGGTTATAGCTGTGTGGAAGAGCAGGGGTTCTCACTTGGCTCTTTCTGGATCCACAGCATGTGCTTTTAACTGCTGAGTAAGTAAGGTATAGTTTTATTCATTCAACAGGATTTGTGGGGACTTGTTCTATTCCAAACCTTGATTTAGACCAGGAAGATAGAGATGAGCATTTAATTTAAATGATTTCAAAATTTAGAGAGGGAGAGAGCCTAGAAAAAAATATATTAATATGTATTCAGGTCCTGTATCCTCAACACAGCAGGCACTTAATATATATTAATGAAAAAATGAATAAGTGAAAGACTGTCAATATGAACATATGACAAAAGTTTCTGAAAATATAATTAAATTTCTAAGACAAAACTCACTCTTTAAAGAGTAAAAGAGTATTTAAGAGCTAGAGGCTCTAACAAGAGTCTTTCCGTAACTTTCATGGTTTGTTTGGATTTCTGCCTAAGATCACTGCACCTCAGTTGCCAAAGATGCTCCCTGCAGTAAGCAGGGCTCCAGATAGGTAAATCGATGAGTTGCAAGATGCTCTGAACTATCCATCTTCCTCCAAGCCAAAGATGGGATGGAGAGAAGGAGGGAAGTAGCGTAATTTCTTCTGCCACAACTTGTTTCATTGACATGAATCACCTCATGTGTGATGGGTGTAACATCTGTGTAATGTGGGAGTCATATTAGTTCATTCACAATTTTCTCCAGCACATTGTTGCTTTGATGTCATCAGGAGCATGTTTTCCCATAATTAAAGAAGATCCTAAAACAGAAGACAAAATGCACACGTAATGGCTAGCTTGAAGGCTTTAAGAACAATGGTGCTTTCCCAATATTCAGTTTCTAGAGGATCTGCAAGGGTATTTTCCTTGTATTAAATCAATGGATTTAGGAAGAAGGCTACATCCTGGGTTGTATTTTAATTTTGATGAAATTGATAATCAAAGGATTCATAGGAACCAAGGTGTAAAGCCACTGAGGATTGACTGTGGTCTAAATAAATTTGCTTGTGGAAAGTTAACTCTGTTAGTATTTGTATTAGAACTGTTACTGTGTTTTTGAGTGCTCTAGTTACAGTTTTGAATGGTCTTCCCCAATCTCACTCTTCCCATGAATCTTTTTATTTTTATGCAGTTTTATAATGCAAGACATTAGAGCAGAGAATTTTTTAACTTTTAGGTTCAGGGTACAAGTACAGATTTGCTACATAGGTAAACTTGTGTCATGGGGTTTTGTTGTACAGATTATTTCATCACTCAGGTATTAATCCTAGTACCCATTAGTAATTTTTACTGGTCCTCTCCCTTCTCCCACACTCCACCCTCTGATAAGCCCCAGCGTGTGTTGTTTCCCTTTATGTGTTCATGTGTTCTCATCATTTAACTCCCACTTATGAGTACATGCAGTATTTGGTTTTCTGTTCCTGCGTTAGTTTGCTAAGGATAATGGCCCCCATATCTATCCATGTTCCTGCAAAGGACATGATATCATTCTTTTTTGTGGCTGCATAATATTCCATGATGTATATGTGTATGTACCACATTTTCTTTATCCATTCTACCACTGATGGGCATTTAGGTTGATTCCATGACTTTGCTATTGTGAACAGTGCTGCAATAAACATAATGTGCATATATCTTTATAATAGAACAATTTATATTCTTTTGGGTGTATACCTAGTAATGGGATTGCTCGGTCTAATGGTATTTTTGTTCTTAGGTCTTTGAGGAATTGCCATACTATCTTCCACTATGGGAGAACTAATTTACACTCCCACCAACAGTGTAAGCATTCCTCTTTCTCTGCAACCTCATCAGCATCTGTTATTTTTTTACTTCTTTGGATTTTGACTGGTATGAGATGGTATTTCATTATGGTATTGATTTGCATTTCTCTAATGATCAGTGACGTTGAGCTTTTTTTCATATGATTGTTGGCTGCATGTATGTATACCTTTGAAAAATGTCTGTTAATGTCCTTTGCCCACTATTTAATGGCATTGTTTGTTGTTTGTTTCTTATAGATGCTGGAGATTAGACCTTTGTCAGATGGATAGTTTCCAAAAATTTTCTCGCATTCTGTAGGTTGTCTATTTACCCTATTGATAGTTTCCTTTGCTTTGCAGAGGCTCTTTAGTTTAATTAAATCCCATTTGTCAATTTTTGCTCTTGTTGCCATTGCTTTTGATGACTTTGTCATGAAATATTTGCCCATTCTTATGTCCAGAATGATATTGTCTAGGTTGTCTTCTAGGGTTTTTATAGTTTTGCATTCTACATTTAAGTCTGTAATCCATCTTGAATTGATTTTTATATATGGTTGTAAGGATGGAGTCCAGTTTCAAACTTCTGCAAATAGCCAGTTATCCCAGTACCATTTATTGAATAGAGAATCCTTCCCCTATTGCTTGTTTTTGTCAGGTTTGTTGAATATCCGACAGTTGTAGGTGTACAGCCTTAATTGTTCCATTGGTCTATAGGTCTGTTTTTGTACCGGTAACATGGTGTTTTGGTTATGGTAGTCCTGTAATAGAGTTTGGAGTTGGGTAGTGTGATGCCTCCAGCATTTTTTTTTTTTTTTTTTTTTTTTTTGCTTAGGATTGCCTTGGTTATTTGGGCTCTGTTTGGTTTCATATGAATTTTAAAATAGTTATTTTTTAAATAACTATTCTGTGAAGAATATCAATTGTATTCTGTGAAGAATATCAATGGCAGTTTAATAGGAATGGTATTGAATCTCTAAATTGTTTTGGGCAGTATGGGCATTTTTACAATATTGATTCTTCTTATTCATGAGCATGAACTGTTTTCCATTTGTTTGTGTCACCTCTGATTTGTTTGAGCAGTGTTTTGTAGTTCTCCTTGTAGAGATCTTTCACCTCCCTGGTTAGCTGTATTCCTAGGTATTTTATTGTATTTTATTTTTGTGGCAATTGTGAATGGGATTGCATGTCTTATTTGGCTCTTGGTGTGACTGTTGTTGGTGTATAGGGATGTTAGTGATTGTTGCACACCGATTTTATATCCTGAGACTTTGCTGAATTTGTTTATCAGCTTGAGTTTTGAGGCTGAGATATAAGATCATGTCATCTGCAAACAGGTAGAGTTTGACTTCCTTTCTACCTATTTGGATGTACTTATTTCTTCTTCTCTGATTGCCCTGGCCAAAACTTCCAATACTATGTTGAATAAGAGTGGCAAGAGAGGGCATCCTTGTCTTGTGCCAGTTTTCAAGGGGAATGCTTCCATTTTTTTCCCATTTAGTATGATATTGGCTGTGGGTTTGTCACAGATGACTTTTATTATTCTGAGGTATGATCCTTCAGTATCTAGTTTCTTGAAAGCCTCTAACATGAAGGGGTGCTGAATTTTATCAAATGCTTTTCCTGTGTCTATTGATATAATCCTGTGATTTTGCCTTTAGTTATGTTTATGTGATGAATCACATTTATTGATTTGCATATGTTGAACCAACCTTGCATCCCAGGAATACAGCCTACTTGATCGTGGTGGATAAACTTTTTGATATGCTGCTGGATTTGGTTTGCTACTATCTTGTTAAGGATTTTTGCCTCAATGTTCATCAAAGATACTGGCCCAGAGTTGTTTTTTTTTGTTGTGTCTCTGCCAGCTTTTGGTATCAGGATGATGCTAGCCTCAAAGAATGAGTTAGGGAGAGGTCTCTCCTCCTCAATTTTTTGGAGTAGTTTCAAGAGGAATGGTACCAGCTCTTTGTACATCTGGTAGAATTCAGCTGTGAATCCATCTGGTCCTGGTATGTTGTTGGTTAGTGGGCTATTTCTTACTGACTCAATTTCAGTGCTCATTATTGATCTGTTAAGGGATTCAGTTTCTTCCTGATTCACTCTCGGGAGGGTGTATGTTTCCATGAATATATCTATTTCTTCTAGATTTTCTAGTTTATGAGCATAGAGGTGTGGTGTTCATAATATTATCTGATGGTCATTTATATTTCTGTGGGGTCAGTAGTAGTATCCCCCTTGTCATTTCTGATCATGTTTATTTGAATCTTCTCTTTTTCCTTGTTTGTTAATCTAACTATTGGCCTGTTTTATTAATTGTTTCAAAAAGCTAGCTCCAGGATTTATTGATCGTTTGAATGGTTTTTCATGTCTCAGTCTCCTTCAGTTCAGCTCTGATTTTGGTTATTTCTTGTCTTCTGCCAGCTTTGGGATTTGTTTGCTCCTGGTTCTCTTGTTTCCGTTCTGATGTCAGGTTGTTAACTTGAGATCTTTCTAAATTTTTGATGTGGGCATTTGGTGCTATAAATTTCCCTGTTAACACTGCCTTAGCTTTGTCTTAGAGACTCTGGTATGTTGTATCTTTGTTCTCATTATTTTCAAAGAACTTCTTGATTCCTGCCTTAATTTCATTATTTACCCCAAAGTCATTCAGGAGCAAATTACTCAATTTCTGTGTAATTATATGGTTTTGAGTGAATTTCTTAGTCTTGATTTCTAATTTGATTGCATTTGGTCTGAGAGATTGTTATGATTTCAGTTTCCTTGCACTTGCTGAGGAGTGTTTTACTTCCAATTATGTGATCAATTTTAGAGTGTGTGCCATGTGGCAATGAGCAGAAAGTATATTCTATTGTTGTGGGGTGGAGATTTCTATAATTAGCCATGAGGTTCATTTGATCCAGTGCTGAATTCAGGTCCCGAATATCTTTGTTAATCATCTGTCTCAATTATCTGTCTAATATTGTCAGTGAGGTTCTAAAGTCTCCCGCTATTATTGTGTGGGACTCTAACTTTCCTTGAAGGTCTCTGAGAACTTGCTTTATGAATCTGGGTGCTTCTGTGATGGGTACATATATATTTAGAATAGTTAGATCTTCTTGTTGAATTGAAACTTTTACTGTTATATATGCCCTTCCTTGTCTTTTTTGATCTTTGTTGGTTTAAAGTCTTTTGTCCGAAACTAGGATTACAACCCTTGCTTTTTTGTTTTGCATTTACTTGGTATATTTTTTCCATTCCTTTATTTTGAGCCTATGTGTGTCATTGCATGTGAGATGGGTCTCTTGAAGGCAGCATACCAATGGGCCTTGGTTCTTTATGCTGCTTGCCATTCTGTGTCTTTTGGGGAATTTAGGACATTTACATTAAAGGTTAGTATTGATATATGTGGATTTGGTCCTGTCCTCATGATGTTAGCTGGTTATTTTCCAGACTTGTTGATGTGGTTACTTTGTAGTGTCACTGGTCTGTGTACTTCACTGTGTTTTTGTAGTGACTGGTAATGGTCTTTGCTTTTCATATTGATGCTTCCTTAAGGAGCTCTCTTGTAAGGCAGGTAGGTGGAACAAATTCCTCACATGTACTTATATGAAAAGAGTCTTATTTCTGCTTTGCTTATGAAGTTGAATTTGGCTGGATATGAAATTCTGGATTAGAATTTATTTTCTTTAGGCATGTTGAATATTGCCCCCCAATCTCTTTTGGCTTGCAGGGCTTCTGCTGAGAGTCTGCTGTTAGTCTGATGGGCTTCCCTTTCTAGGTGACTTGACCTTTCTCTTTAGCTGCCTTTAACATTTTTTTCTTTCATTTTGACTTGGGAGAATTGGATGATTATGTGTTTTGGGGATGATCTCATGAGGTATCTTAATAGAGTTCTCTGCATTTCCTGGATTTGAATGTTTTATAATGCAATTACAAGTATCAAAGCAGAATAGACCAAGCAGAGGAAAGAATCTCAGAGCTTGAAGACTGGCTTCCTGAAATAAGACAGTCAGACAAGAATAGAGGAAAAAGAATGAAAAGGAATGACAAGATCTCCAAGAAAGATGGAATTACATAAAGAGATCAAACCTAAAACTCATTGGTGTCCCTGAAAGAGATGGGGAGAATGGAACCAACTTGGAAAACATATTTCAGTATATCAATCAGGAGAATTTCTCCAGCCTAGCTAGAGAAATGTATTTATGAGTGTTTAATTTGTATGTGTCCCAGATGCCAGACAGGGTCTTCCCACCTCTTGTTGTTTAAAAAAGATGTTTTGGCCTTCATCCTAGTCACCAGAAGTTCAAGGTTTTATCCTGTATTTTTGATGATTCCCAGGGGCTTACATTTCTCATGGCTGCCTCCAGCATTAGTTTCTGGATTCCTCACTTTATGAGATATCTCACCCCCTAGTACATGGTGTTTCAGTTTCTACATGGCCAACCTAGATCGGAAACTCAGCCTCCCATACACATATTCACTCACACACAATAGGCTCATATTAAAACTGTATTTGTGTTGGTTGACTTTAACAAAGACTTGTGTAAGAATGGAAAGCTCGATCAAGGCTGCTTTCTCAGGCACATCACTTCAAATTGCATATCTGCCAGCTCTGCTCATAAAAGTAGTTTAGCCTCCAAATCAGCAGGGATTCCTTTCACCTGCCACTCAGTTGACATAGCATGTCAGCTTCAGGCAATACCGCTGGTTCTTCCCTCCCTCCTCTTTTCTCTGTTCCTTCATTCTCTTAACCAAATTTCCCTTCCTAGGGAAAAAAAGTGTCCCTCCCTTTATGTCCTTCTGTTTTATCTCAAGCAGAATGACTTGTTTTTTCTTTGTTGCTGGAGCTCTTGCTAACACTCATGATTTCAGAGTCCCACTTTCTGCCCCAAGAAACTAAGGCATTTTCCTGGAAAAAAAAAAAAAAAAGTTTCCTTCTTAAGAAAATTTATGCTACCAGATAGTAAGGTAATGCATTTTCACTCCCACTCTACTTCCAAAGACTTTTGCCTTCTAGCAAGCATGTAAAAGATTCAGATTCAGTTCATTGGTACCGACACAGACCAGAGACCAAATGGTTCAAGGCTCTTTGTTGCTTTCCCTGAGCTGGGATGTGATCTCCATGCTCCTTCCCTTGCTATAAACCCTGAAGTCTTGTGTTGAGATGGCAACAGCATAACATGGCAGAACCTCCATTAATCTGGTTCCTGAGATTCTGGGAAGCAGAGCCTTCATGCAGATCAGCATACAGGGCAGAAGCAGAAGTCAGACTTCTTCAGAAATTCAAAGGGGTGATGACTTTGTTTTTGCTTTCTCCCTCACTACTTATCTGGCCTAACCTGTCTGGAGCATATCACTTGGCAGCCACACTTTGCTTCTTTTCTGTGTTTTCATACGCTGCTAAATGGCAAGCACCTTTATCACAGATGATTTTAATGGAATGTTAAGAGATTGCAAGAATAAACATTTTCTGGCATTTTTGCATGTTTGACAATTGCATTTCCTATTTCTACTATTCTTCACCTTTCCGGAAAAGCATCATTTGCTCATCCAAAAAGTATGCACTTATTCATTAGAAGCCTGAGATTGTGCTAGGCCCTGGGGATGTAAAAAAAGATAGATATAATGGATATTCTCAGAGGGGTCTTCAGCATTTGCTGAAGATTTTTAATTCATTGATTGATTCACTCATTATTCAAACTATATTCCGTCTTCGATGTACCATGATAAGCACTTATAATTCAGCAGCAAACAAGACAGACACACTTCCTGAACCTCTTGGATGTTGAAGTCTAGGGGCAAATGCAGATAGTGAACATATAACTCTAAGTGCTAAGAGTTTAAAAAAGGAGAATCCTAATATTAATCATTGATAATGATGGAATTTTTATTATATGTCAAGACTGTTCTGTGTGAGTTATAACATATTTAATGATCACAAGATTATCTTCCTATTTAATGTTAAAAAAGGACACCAAAGCACAGAGGGACCAAGTAACTTGCTCAAAGTCCATAGCTAGTAGGTGGTAGCTGTGGGTACAAATCCAAATATAGGGATTCCAGTGCTCATCCTCTTAACCACTTCACTATTTGCACAAAATCTGAAGGGTGATATTCTGATTGAGACCATTAATGTGGGTTAGAGTCCCTAGGTGAAGAGTCCAGGGGAGCATATTTTGGGTATGAGAGAGTAGCATGTTTGAGAGCTTCTGATACCAGAGAGCTTCTGAGGGAAGTGTGGAAGTCCTGGAGTGAGAGAGCACATCTTCTGCTGGCTGCCTCACACTACTCAGCTACCTCCACACCCCTAACGCCAGCTCTTTGGTGAGGACTTCACGGTGTGCTGAGTAGGAAGGCTTAACACTCCTTCCAGCCATCATCTTGGGAGTAGAAGTAAAATCTACTTATGGAAGAGGGTTATGTGTCTCCACACACCTGAGACAGTAAGGTGAGGCTCTCCCAGCCCCAGGTCATCTCTTCCAGAGACAGCCAGATTTTCTGGAGGCAACAGGGGAGTTTGTTAAAGATAGTGTAATTACTGAGGTGACAGATCAAGCATTCTCTTTGAAAGAGGCATCCCAGAGAGGCTCCTAAGCTTGTGACTTGAAGCATAGAGAACCTCTTGTTTTTTCCACTTCAGTGGATATTGGATAGTTTTGTAAGCCTGTGGAAAAGAGCTTGATGGTTTAGGAAGAGCAGGGGGAGAGGCAAAAGAAGTATCTGTTGTGTTTCTTTTTGAATTGAAGGAAAATTTGTATTAAGCCAAAGAAGAAATGAACAGAACAGAGCAAGAGCCTGCCGACATTCTCCCCATTTCCCCCTTTCTCCTACCCTAGCCCTAATTTCTCAGTCTTCTTCATCAGCCAAATAACACTTTGGAAACTGAAGGGTGCCTGAATTTCTTGCTTCTCAGACCCTGGGATCCTGCAGATCATCAGGGCTGTGCAATTGTATGGCATTTGTGGACATGATACAATCATGTTCACATTGCAATATTTAGACTCCATTTATTTATCACCACATGCAAATATTCATGTATCTATTTTTGCATTCATTCTTTGGAAATGTTTTGAAGTCAGATCTTCAATCAAATATAAGCTGGGTACCACTTTAAACGGTGTGTCTTTAGGCAAGCCACTCATCCTTTCTGAACCTCAATTTGGAAGATAGAAATAAATATGACCACTCAGGGTTTGGGGGAGAATTAAATGACATAATTTATGTATTGTGTAGTACTCAATACATGATAGGCATCATTAATATATTTATAACTATGACTAAATGCTGGGTTTTATTTTAGTCATTAACTGAGAAAATAACTATTAAGTGACTACTTTTGGCCAGCTCTGTGCTATGGTAGGCCCCTTAAAGATGAGAAAAGATGGTTACGACTCTTCAGAAGCCCCATCTAATAAGATAGATAGGCCTGTGTGTGGCAAAAGCATCCAAGATTATCACAAGAATTGAGTCAAACCTGCTGAATGAGATATGGCTGGGGAGGGGGGAAGGAAGCAGAAAGCTAAGCGGGGAAGACAGCAATTGGGGTGAGTTTTCTGGAGAGGCACTTTCCCCCTGAGGACAAGCACTGAATTTGTTCTGTGGAAAGGAAAAACACTCAGAGCATGGTCCAAGTGGCTGATAAAGGAGAACTGGCTCGGTAAAGGAGTTTAACCCTCTTGGAGGGCTTTCTTTCACTGTATGGTAAGAAAAACGGCAGGCAAGGAGGAAAAGAACATCTACAGATCCAATATGAAAGCATACATTGAAGAATCATGCCGGGGGATTAATTTGGCTTCTTGCACAGAGATTTTGTGACCCAGAGACAAAGCCTTAGGTATGATGGAGGCAGAACAGTAGCATCTTGAACAGCACTGATTCTAGGCTGGGGGGCAAAGGTATAGGACTTCTTCAGGCTATGGCAGTGATGCTAAGATAGTTTGGGTGCAGGGGGTTTTAGCCTTAGTGTGTGGGATCCAGGATAACCTGGGCATAGAGGAGAGTAGTCTTTCTTAAGAAACCAGAAATTATTTCTCTATTCCTTGAGCCGTGTATACATTCATCCATCCACACACTCATCCATTCAGCAGATAGAATAATGTTTAAAGGTCAGAGAGAGGCACAGAGATGGGGTCAGTTTTCCACTTGTTGTACATTAACTGGTGGGGGCCCAGCTATGGAAAAATACATTTACTATTGTCTTTTGCTCTGAATACCTTTGGGATAATAATCCTATACAGAAGTAACCACACTCCACAGTGCAATAGTTGCTGTAATTGAGATATACACAAAGAGGACTGAATGACTCATTTCACCCTTAGAAGAACAGAAATGTGGAATTAATTCAGAGACAAGAAGATATTTAAGCTGAGGCTTGCCGGAAAAATTTAAACTTGCTTGATATTGCAGGCAATGGAAACATCAAGCATGAAGACATGAGGATATAAAAGAGTAAGGCACATTTGGAGAACTGTAAACATTTTGGTAATGATGGAGTTTACAGTGCTTTGGAGGAAGTAGAGAGAAAAAAGAATTGAGAACTAAGTTAAATGTTGGAGGCCTTATATTCTGGTCTAACAAACATAGATTTAATCATGAAAGTGATGGAACTGAGGGTGCAAAGAAAAAATAGAAGTCCCTGGTTCTGAAAGGTCTTTAGTTGAGTAGGAAAGAGAGACATAGATGTTGTTATGCAGGAGAATAATGTGACCAGGACGATTGCAGGGCCAGCCCCCTTAGGCAGCCTCTGCTCTTAAGTTGTGCCCTTGTTAGGCTGATTCTCAAAGCTTTTCTATAATTCTCAGCAAACTACAGAAACAATAAGTAGTAGAGATTTTATGGAAGGTGGTGTGGGTTGCACAGGGTGCAAGAACACTTTATCCCTTTATCCAACTTTCCCATTAGCTATTTATGAACCTTTCTCTGGCCTCTTCTTCCTTCTCTATCTAGCCTTTTCATATTCATTCCGTTGTTAGGTGCATTTCAACTCTTCCCCTTGGTATACATCTCTTCTGCAGCACAAAAAGAGTCAAGGAGTTTCTCAGTTGTTATAAAATCATGCCTTCAAAGTCCAGGCAGTTAAACCAGCAGAGTGGAGTGGGGTGGGTTTAAAACAAAGGGGAATATTAGGGACTGGGACAAATTGCAGAGCACATGCCTCATCTCAGAGAACAAGAGCTACTCCACTGCGCTGGAGTGTTACTGTTTGGAAATGCTGGCCCAGTACTGCCAAATGTGCCATTTTCTTTTTTTTTTTTTCTTTTTCAAGGAAAGAAATTTAGACTTTTAGCTAGCCCTCCGGGTTGATTTCCATTGTTCATGTTGCCAATTAATTTATTCTTTAAAAAATACTGTGTGTGCCAAACACATCTGAGGGCTGCATCTGGCTATCAGCTCTCCTGTTTGTAAACTCTGAGTTAGCTCAACCTCTCTCTTCATGAAGCCTGCCCTCAGGCTTTTAATTTATTCTGCTGTGCGTGCTCTGTAAGTATTGCACTGACCAAACTGCAGAGAGTGGATTGTGACAGGGAACTTTTCAAGTAGGAAGATCCCCTATGAGGCTTGCCTGTGGTCCAGATGAGGGAGGACTTGTGCCAGGCTCTGGGCTGAGATGAGCCAATAAACCTGAGCAATTAGGAGAAGAGAACCCTGGGGTGGTATCTTAGTCCATTTTCTGTTGCTATAATACAGACTGTGTAATTTATAAAGAAAATAAATTTATTTCTTAGTGTCCTGGAGGCTGGGAAGTCCAAGGTCAAGGGGCCACATCTGGTAAAAGCCTTCTTGCTGTGTCATAACATGGCAGAGGGTAAGAATGTGTATATCAGCTCAGGTCTCTCTTCCTCTTCTAATAAAGTGGCCCCCATTATGGGGGTCACACCCTGATGACCTTATCTAATTCTGATTACCTCTTTAAGGCCCCATTCTCCAAATAGCAACATATGAATTTGTGGATTAAATTTTCAACACATGAAATTTGTGGGATACATTCAAATCATAGCAGGTGGAGTCTCAGGCTGTAGTTCTTACCCTGAAGTGTTGCTAGATATGGTGTTAAATAAAAACTTATTCTGACACTTTCATCCTCGAAACCTGACCCAACACTGCAAGGATAAAATGATAAGAAAGACTTTATTCAGGACTATTGCAAGAGATGTCAAGACAATTACAATAGGGGAAAGTGATCATGATCACCTCTGAATACAGCAAAGACAGGGATTTATAGCCAACAAGCAAAGCGAGCAGGTCAATGGATGCAAAGTTACTAAGAGAAGATATCAAGTGTATGAACCATCTTGCTGAACTCACCTAACAAAATTCTTGTTGAAGGCAGGCCAAGAACTTAGAAAATCAAAGGCAGGCGATGAACTTGATCAAATATCAAAGTTGATCATATATCTGGAGTAAGGGGATAAGCACCAAGGGAGATCAGATATTAGGGTCAAGGGATTATTATGAAACTGATTTAGTAGGATCAGTAGTAATAAAAAACTGGGCTATGCAGGCCTTGCCAGGACAGAATATGGGCCAATATTGAGGCCTAGTCAAGAAGTGGGCTAGGGGAGCCTGACTAAAGTTTGGTAAAGGAGAGAGTCCTTGTCAGTGGAAAGTGACCCTTCTTCCTAGGTGTCTTAGTTCAGGTTGCTATAACAGAATATCATAAGCCAGGTAGCTTACATTTATTTTTCACAGTTCTGGAGGCTGGGAAGTCCAAGGTCAAGGTGCTGACAGATCCAGTGTCTGGTGAGGGCCAACTTCCTGGTTTACAGATGGCTGCCTTCTAATTGTGGCGGCAAACAGAGCCAGCTAGCTCTCTGTCCTTTTCTTCTATGGACACTAATCCCATCCATGAGAACTCTGCTCTCATGACCTACCTACCTTCCAAAAGCACCACCTCTTATTATCACATTGGGGATTAGATTTCAACATAGGAATTTTGGGAGGGCATAAACATTCAGTCCATAACACTAGGTTTTAGTATTTTCATCTGTGGAACAAGGGAGTTTCCCTAGGATGGCTTTTTTTCTAGTTTATAACTAAAATTATAGTCACTGAACGCTCACTGGTCTTTCTGAGGCTCAGTCCCAGGTACCTTCTTTGGCCCAGGTCAGCATTTGAGCAGCATATAATCATCAATCCTCTGCAGTGGAGCCCCTTCGAAGCATGTGGGTTTGTAACACTCCCTGACCAGCCTTTTGATTGGAGTCCACTCTGGCTGCAGAGTGAAATATCATCTACTTACAGTCTCTTTTTCTTAGCTTCTCCCAAAGAAGTGTTTCCTTCTCTTCTCTCTTTGTATGTATGAAAAAGCAAATGAAAAAAAAAACAAAAACAAAGTGTCCAGATTTCATAAACTTTCCCATATGTCTACTCCCCAAAGTTCTTCATGACTTTCATGAAATGGTAACTTCAGCCCTTTGCCTACCTTCCTGAGGAGGAGATTATCAATTCTTTCACCTTTTAGCCTTGGCTCTAGAGAAGGCCACATTGACCCCTACCTTATTCTGCAGAGGTCCCCTTTCTAAAACTGAAGTCTAAAGAGAAAGTCTGGGGAAAAATTATGGTGCTTCATTTAAACTTAATCCTTTATGTCTATGAAAATTTTCAGACTGTGACATCCCATACCTCTGCACCTTTTTTTTCTTCCCTTCCTAGACTTTTCATATCCCTTCTGTGGTTAGGTGTGTTTTTATCTTCCCCTTGGCTTGTATATCCCACTCGGTACAAAAAAAAAAAAAAAAAAAAATCCAAATAGTTTTCCCAGTTGTTACCAGCTCATATGCCTTCAAAAGTCAGGCAGTTAAAAAGAAGTGATTGTAAATAATCAAGAAAGAGATAGGAGGCACCCAAATGAGATCTTAAGAAGCTCTCAACATCCAGGTTGTATGTGACTGCAGGTTAGTACCCACCTAGTTTATAAGGTCTATGAAGAGAATAATAGTGTCTCTTCTACCTGCCATTATATCCTCTCAATGCCTACCCCATTATCTGACCAATTGTAGGCACTCAACAAATAGCAACTGGAAATCACTCAAGGAACAGATGGATTAGGAATATAGATTTTTGTGAATTCTAGCTTCAAACATGGATCTGTCTCTCTGATTAGATTTTACATTCTTGTGGTCAAGAGCTCTGTCTTTATAGTAATGATAATCACAGCTTGTACAATGTGGCATTGATCATTGTAAATCACTGTCTCCTTTACTACTTACCACAACCTTAGGCATTATTGTAGTTATTTACGGATGGGAAAACTAAAGCCCCAAAGGGTGAAATACTGTCTCTAGTTCTTAGAGTTTATAATCTGTTGAGTCTGGGTTTGAACCTGGGTTTGTTAATCTACAGCACAGTGTTTTTTCCTTTATGCCATGTGCTGCCTACCTTATTTATCTTGAGTTGCATCTGTGGCTTTTCATTGTAGACGAAGGTACAGAGCCAAGTAGCCTCTACTGAGTCCCAGCTCTGATTTCCTTATGACTTTATGTCTTCCCAGAAGTGGGGGTTTGGGTAAGGAGCAGTAGGCTGGGCTCATGTCACACTATCCTGAGACATTGACAGTGTTTTTCCATTGCTTCAAATTAAATTTCTGTCTGGATGTGCCACATTGAATCAAATCTGTCTCTTCAAGCATACCACCATAAAATTTATTTCCCCAGGTGGCCTTCTTTTATTTATTTTTTCTTTTGTTAACATATTCAAGAGTAATCAGAGATGCAGTGTTCAGTCAGGTTTCAAGGATAATTGACTTTGACTTTTGGGGAAATACCAAGAGGAACAGGCTGACTCCTAAGAATATTTCCTTACTGGAAATTATGGCCTAAGCGTTATTCATTCATTCATCCAACAAATATTTGTTAAGCATCTTCTATAAGATATGCCTCCTGCTTATAATTTTATACACTCTAACACAGGTTTGAATATGGACTCCATCACTTACTGCTGGCCAACATCATCCATTTATTCATTGTGTAATGATTATGTATCTTCTATGTACAAAGCAGCACGCATACATTGAGAGCAAGTTATAGCATCCAAATTTAATGGTTACTGGGTGCAGGAGGAATGAGATGACTAAGTACTTTATAAAAGTTTCTGTTGCTTCTATACTAATGTTTGAGATGGTGGGACGGTGTGTGTGGGGAAGTTCCTTCCAATCAAAAGCAAGATGTTCTCCTAACCCTTAAAAGTCAGACAAGGGATAGTCATTAAGATATGCAAAGGACAGCTTTCAAGAGGGTGCTATTGGAAGACTCTGGGGTTTGGCCTATGGTACATGTTCTCTAGGAAGGACTACCAAGGATTCTGTTGAGGTATGGCTCTTGACGTGTTAAATTCTAATCTTGGGGCCTGAGTATTGTTGCACTATGTGGGTACGGTTTTCCCCATTTATGTCTACAAATACAAAATCTTTAAGAGATGAAAAAATCTTAATGTCTTAGCAGTTATATCTATTCTTCTCCACCTCATTAACACCAGCAGGGAGCATGGTAGAGTAACTGTGGGTGGTAGGTCAAATGATTTTTAAGGAGAACAGTTCAAATTCAGGAAGGCCAATGACAGGGCACAAAAACCAAACAAGAGTTCTGAGAGGATGGAAGAAGGTCCTGATATCCTGGGCTTGCCCCACTCTCACCTATCCTGACATAAGTGAGAAACAAACAGGTTTCTTCTATTCTGGAGAGCTCTTCCCTCAGGGAGGTTAGAGAGAACAAGTTTGATGGGCTAAGGCAAATGCTCACAGAAACTGAACTCTCTCCTTGTCCAAAGTGCATGGTTTCGATCCGTGTAAAGCTCATAGACTAGTGGGAGAGATAAATAAATAGCCAAGCTCCATCTGTCTCATGATAGGAAGAGAGCTGGGTGCTGTGGAAACACATTTCAAGGGGAAATTTAAACAATCTCAGAAAACTGGCTGTGAAAGCCAGTCTTTCTCTTCTTCTCTTGACCAGCAGTTAGTCAAAAGAAGAGGAAGAAGGGAAATGATGGTGGGGGGATAAAAAAAGGTGTACGAGACTAGAAAACAGCACATACAAAGGCCTGGAGGTATAAGTAAAGGTTAGAAGAGAGTGATATAATGATTTCTATAAGTCTAAACTGTAAAATAGGGCTAGAGTGAAGCAGATAGAAGGAGGAAGAAGGAGATTTGTGTGGGGGTCGGGGGAGGCTAGCTAGAGATAAAATCAGAGAGGCAAGCATGGGTCTGGATCATGCAGGGTCTTACAGCCATGTTCCTTCCCACACTGACTCTGGGCTTGGCCATGTGACCTTATTTGTTTGGGTCAATGAAATGACGGCAGAGACTTGAAAACCACCTGCACATTAGGGCTTGGTCTCTTTCTCTTGCTGTTTTTTGGACGTAGCCAGCATATGAAGAAGTCCACACTAACTAGCTGGATGAGAGACTTGGAGAGACATGGGGTCATTTGTGCTCATCATCTCAGCAAATAATCGGACATCCGGGGCCAGCCAGCCCTTGGCTAATCTAACAACTGAACACAAGCACATCAATGTGCCCAGCTGACACCACATTGCATAACAATGATTTTTTAGGCTGAGCCCTGTCCAAATCACCAGCCTGCAGAATCATGAGCAAATAAATGTTGGTTTTTTTTCAACCCATTAAGTTGTGGGGTCATTTATTATGCAGTAGTTGAAAATAATATGACTCTCATCTCCACCAAGTTCCTAAGGGAGCAAAACACATAAGAACCAACCGAAAGATGTGTCCAAATTCTATTTCATTATTAGTGGACCCAGCACTCAGTAACCCCAATGTATAGATCTATGATAAAAGTTGTATTGAGCTATTGGGCTTAGCCCTGCAGTTCCAAGTGACGCTCCTATTTTCCCTTAAATAAAAACCTTAGGAGCAGGATGTTTTGATTGCTCATAGGGTAAACAGAAAGACAGGTGGACCTTGAAAAGAACTTGATTCAATACAGAGTGGAATAGGAGGCACCGAAGAGGGAATGGCTCCTGGGTGCCCTGACTACTAGGAGAAGAATGCAAAGCCAATGTCTTGGATGCTAACCAATCAGATTAGCAGCTCTCTCTTCATGGGGATGAAGAAAGAGGTAGGAAGAGGTGATCAGCAGCAATAGTGAGAAGGCAGAATTGTTTCATTTGGCAAAGAAGCTTTCAGATAACATTGGTTGTGTGCTTAGTAATGATCTCTGTTCTTAAGGAGCTCAGTGTAGTGAGAAAGATGTGAACAAAATACCTTCCAGTCAGGGTCCAGTCAGGAAGACAGAAAGAACACTAAGTATTTTAGCCAAGAGAGTATGATCATAGGGATTTGTCAAAGAGAGTTGGGGAAACTGAGAAAGCCAAAGGAAGCACTGGAGTGCTGGAGAGATTGTAATTTAGGAGGTAGCCATCACTAATAGGGCTGGTGAGGAAAAGGGGGTAGTTGGGGTTACCAGATCCTAAAAACCTGGAAGAGGAGCCCTAAGGAACCAGGATGCAGATCTCAAGGAAAGCATACTTCCTTCCTGGTTGATGCTGGTGCCTCGGGAGCTCAGGGGACCCCAGTAGAGATGCATGCAGATGCACCCCTCCCTCCAATGGAAGGACATTGACCAGTTGGTACTGGGAGGGCATAAAGAAACTATAAAGTACAAACAACACCTGTGCCAGGTGAAAGGCAATGCTGGGGCAAAACTGACAGAAACCACAGGCCCACAGAAAGAAGCAAATCCCTTCTTCCTGCCGTGCAGCCCCCCTGGAATGCAAATGACTGGCAGAATATAGTAAGAACTCCCATAGTAAGGGAGTGATAGGGTTTGACTGTGTCCCCACCCAAATCTTGTCTTGAATTGTAGCTCCCATAATCCCCACGTGTTGTGGGAGGGACCCGGTGGGAGGTAATTGAATCATGGCAGTGCGTTTTTCCTGTGCTGTTTTCATGTTAGTGAATAAGTCTCATGAGATCTGGTAGTTTTATAAATCGGAGTTTCCCTGCACAAGCTCTCTTGCCTGATGCCATGTAAGATGTGATTTTGCTCTTCATTCACCTTCCGCCATGACTGTGAGGCCTCTCCAACCATGTGGAACTGTGAGTCAATTAAACCCTTCTCCTTTATAAATTACCCAGTCTCGGGTATGTCTTCATTAGCAGCATGAGAACAGACTAATACTAATACAGGGAGATATGTGGTTTGCAGAGAGCCCTAGTTTCAGCCTTAGAAACAGAGCAAAGAAGGACAGGTCTGGAGCTGAGACACAGGGACTTCATCCCTAGGTGAGTGATGTATACACGCATATCCTTAGCACAGCAGCAGGACAAAGGAAGGGGAATGTCTACTGGAGCGGAGGCATCACACAGCCTAATAGTAAGATCTACCAAAGCCAAGCTCCCTAGACATGGCTTTCCGAAGTGGGGCAGTTAGCACTGCTGGGACTTTAGAGAAGTTTAGATGGTGTGCAGCTGTAGAATGAAATAACATTGAGCAACATGATGAAACAGTTAATCCTTGTTCATCTTCCATTGTTTCTGATTAAGGCAAGCAGAAAGTCCCAGTTGAGTGTCACCATATCCTCAGTAGCATTCTAACCCTTGCTGTAATGTATTTTAACAGAGAGAGAGCAGGCCTCAGGCTCAGAACCTGTAGCTGGCAGCACTTTCAAGTTTAATGACATTATATTGACTTTGTAGAATTTATTCTTTATGCATACCTTCTGGTTTGTGGGGAGGAGTTCTGGTTTTTCATTTACTAGACATTCTTAGTTAAGTAATTTAATTAAGTATAATGTGAGTAGATTTAAACCTAGACAGTAAGTAAATGCTAATGGAGTATATAGATATAGCAAAAAAAGAAAAAAATATATAGAAAGTGGTATGGAAATGACCTACACTTGAAGAAAAACTTCCCCAATCCATAGATAGCCACTGGTTAGAGATTAAGCATTAATACAATTAAGGAGTGGAGAATGATGAATCTGGGGTATCACAAAGAGGACATTTGTAAGTAATTTTGAGCAATGGGCTTCTTACCTCAGCCAGGGGAGGATGTCTGGATTAGTCCACTGGAACCATTCCTGCCATTTGGCAACCTTCTTCCCCCAAAGCAAAAGTGTTTCTGGCAAAATAAGCACAACTGCTTGGGAAATTCAACATAGAGATTTAATTTTTACACTCAGATCTCTTGTGTTCTCCAAGTAATAACCAGACTTGTTGGTTTTCTTAGAGCCGACCCTCTAATAAAATTTCCTTCAAAGTCCTATGACCATGATCCCATTAGAATATGACCCCCATGAAGGAAGGCCAGGACTTTGTCAGTATTGGCCGCTGTTGTATTTCCAGGGTCTAGGACACTGCATGGCATATACCAGGACAAAGTAAATATATATGAATATATGAATGAATAAATAAAAGCATTGAAGGGTTTTCAGACTTTTAAAACTTTGGCATCCTTTCTTGACAAGAAATCCTAAGCCAATATTGGAGCTGCTCTGAAAACATTGTGGATTGAAAGGTTTTGTCTATTTTGCTTTTTTTACTCCCTTCATTTGATAATCATATCTCAATTATTATTACAACATCTCTACAAAGTGTTTCAAGGGTACTTGGTTTCACCTGATATGGTTTGGCTCTGTGTCCCCACCCAAATCTCATCTTGAATTGTAATCCCCAAGCATCAGAGGGAACTGGTGGGAGGTGATTGGATCATGGGGGTGGTTTCTCCTATGCTGTTCTTGTGCTAGAGAGTGAGTTCTCATGAGAGCTGATGGTTTTAAAATATGGCACTTCCTCACTCTCTCTTTTCCTGCTGCCGTGTAAGACATGCCTTGCTTTGCCTTTCCCTTCGACCATGATTGTATGTTTCCTGAGGTCTCCTCAGCCATGCAGAACTGTGAGTCAGTTAAACGTCCATTTTTTTCTTCATAAATACCCAGTCTCAGGTATTCTTTATAGCAGTGTGATAAAAGACTAATACAACCTCTTTTTGAGATCAGGAAATAAAAATCCAGGTTATGTAATGACTAGCCCAAAAACAAACAGTCGTAAGAGGCAGGCATGGGACTAAAGCCTAGGTTTTCATCACAAAGCCTTGCTTCCTCTCTATAAAGAGTCAGTGGCAACCCTGGAGACTCTGGATCATTTTACCTTCCTCTAATCAACACGGCAATTAGTTTATGTCAGTTCAGAGAACAATCAGTCAAATGGGCTGTTTGGGGTCAACTAGATGAACAACCATTTGGCTGAATACTTTCTTCATTTTTTCAGCTGACAGTTGTGACACTGTATCATCTTCATTTTTCTACACTAAAGCAATTAATGATGTCTCAAGGAGGTGGATGCCCTTGAGGTTAAATAATGTCAGTAGAACTTCGTTCTCATGGTCAAGCTTATATTTGAGTGTCGTTTTTATGTGGGTCATGAGGGCATCTCACTATGAACTCCTGTGAATAATCTGGACATCCTCAGAAGCATTAATTCATCCTGTTAGCATCCTGTTAGAGAATTTTAAAAATTAGGAGTGGGTTTTAAAGAATCTTAAAATCTTTGAGTTTAAATGGCATGTAGTCCAACCTCCTAAGTCATCATCTTCAAAATGGCCATAACAAAATTGTTGAGTCTATGTCTGAATATTTTCAGGAGACTATAGGGGTTGGGGTTTCAGTATCGTATGAAGCAATTTATTACATTGCCGGGAAACCCCCAATGTTCGAAAGTTCTTCCCAATATAGAGTGAAACTATTCATGCCTGTAACTTCTCATTACGTCAGAGATTTGGGATGTTAGAGAAAAGGGATCTAATATTTTTGAGTACTTAAATTTGTGATTCAGCATGATTATCATTTCATGTGTAATTTCTCACTCTTCTATGAGCTAGTTATCATTATCCCCATTTTATAGATGGAGAAATCAAAGCTAAGACAACTTGAACAACGTTTCATTCTAACTAATACAAGATATAATTGGGATTTGAATAATGCCTTTCTAGTTTCTAAGCCAATGCTGTTTCAGTTGCCTCAGTGTAGTTGCCAAAGCTCTTAGAAATATTATAATCCAATAGTTTTCCACATTTCCTCTTCATAAATGTTACTGATACTCCTGTAAGAACAGCTCTCATTACACATTGCTGTGCTTCTCAGTAGTAAGAGACAGGGAGGGAGCTCAGCTACACTATTTTCTCCTTTTTCCTTCCTCTAGGAAAGCAAGTATCAAAATCTCCAAGAGGCTTTCACTGCTAGGAGAAAGCACATCCACTGTGAAAATATTGACATCTCCCCAATTCTCCATGCATTCCACATATATCTTCATTAAGAATCTTTAATAATCTAAACTCTATATCTTACCAGTGATAAATTGGCTACCTAGATGGGTAAATTTCAAAAGAAATGTTTGTAGATGGATGTTCACTGAAGGTGAGTCTACAGCAGGGGAACATTTGAGTATATCCAAAGGGCAGTTAGATTAATTCAGAGTCAACTTCAAACTGGAGCCTTTTCTGGTCAGAGAGATATATACTCCGGGACTTCAAAAGCAACTTGTACAGAAATCCAAAGTCTGTGACAAAGGTGAGCTATCGTAGTCCATGCAGCTTCAGTACCATTTATCTACATGAAAGAGATCTGGAATAGATGTGCCTACAACTTGAATTTAGGGTCAATGTAGAAGAAGACATTTGTCACAATCTTCAAATCAGTTTAGGCAATTTTTATCTGGATAAATCATGTCTAATCTATTTGCTGCAATTTAAAGACAAATTTGAAGTCAGTTCTTATTTCAGTTTTTCATCTCTGCAACCTATTTGACAAAAATCTTACTGGGTTTCTATTCTTACTCAGTATAGGAAAGAGTGACTTTTGGCTGGTTTCTAGTGGAATTAAAAATAAATTATTACACCTCCCCTGTGTGACACAAACATTTGCAAACTTTATTGCATTAAGCCTTCACAATAGCCTTTTGAGGTGCATATTACTGTTTTCATAGTACAAGATGGGGAAATTGAGGCTCACTGAGTTTTGTAACTTGTGAAAAATTGAATGGTAGACACTGAAGGCTAGAGCCAGGATTTGAATCTTGGTAGCTTGAATAGCTTTAATTAACACTAGAGAAACTCCTACAGAGTCTAAAAATTCCTTGGGTCTATAGTAGAACTTTTTAAAAAAAAATTTTATTATACACCAAGTTCTGGGATACATGTGCAGAACGTGCAGGTTTGTTACATAGGTATACACATGCCATGGTGGTTTGCTGCACCCATCAACCCGTCATCTACATTAGGTATTTCTCCTAATGCTATCCGTCCCCTAGCACCCCACCCCGCAACAGGCCCTGGTGTGTGATGTTTCCCTCCCTGTGTCCATGTGTTCTCATTGTTCAACTCCCACTTATGAATGAGAACATGCAGTGTTTGGTCTTCTGTTATTATGTTATTTTGCTGAGAATGATGGTTTTCAGCTTTATCCATGTCCCTGCAAAGGATATGAACTCATCTTTTTTTTATGGCTGCATACGATTCCATGGGGTATATGTGCCACATTTTCTTTATCCAGTCTATCATTGATGGGCATTTGAGTTGGTTCCAAGTCTTTGCTATTGTGAACAGTGCTGCAGTAAACATACATGTGCATGTGTCTTTATAGTAGAATAATTTATAATTCTTTGGGTATATACCCAGCAATGGGATTGCTGGGTCAAATGGTATTTCTGGTTCTAGATCCTTGAGGAATCGCCACACTGCCTTCCACAATGGTTGAACTAATTTATACTCCCCACCAGCAGGATAAGTGTTCCTATTTCTCCACATCCTCTCCAGCGTCTGTTGTTTCCTGACTTTTTAATGATCGCCGTTCTAACTGATGTGAGATGTTATCTCATTGTGGTTTGATTTGCATTTCTCTAATGACCAGTGATGATGAGCTTTTCTTCATACGTTTGTTGGCTGCATAAATTCTTTTGAGAAGCATCTGTTCATATACTTTGTCCACTTTTCGATGGGGTTGTTTGTTTTTTTCTTGTAAATTTGTTTAAGTTCTTTGTGTATTCTGGATATTAGCCCTTTGTCACATGGATAGATTGCAAAAATTTTCTCCCATTCTGTAGGTTGCCTGTTCACTCTGATGATAGTTTATTTTGCTGTGCAGAAGCTATTTAGTTTAATTAGATCCCATTTGTTAATTTTGGCTTTCGTTGCCATTGCTTTTGGTGTTTTAGTCATGAAGTCTTTGCCCATGCCTATGTCCTGAATAGTATTGCCTAGGTTTTCTTCTAGTGTTTTTATGGTTTTAGGTCTTACATTGAAGTCGTTAATCCACCTTGAGTTAATTTTTGTATAAGGTGTAAGGAAGGGGTCCAGTTTCAGTTTTCTGCATATGGCTAGCCAGTTTTCCCAACACCATTTATTAAATAGGGAACCTTTTCCCCATTGCTTGCTTTTGTCAGGTTTGTCAAAGATCAGATGGTTGTAGATGTGTGGTGTTATTTCTGAGGCCTCTGTTCTGTTCCATTGGTCTATGTATCTGTTTTGGTACCAGTACAATGCTGTTTTGGTTACTGTAGCCTTGTAGTATAGTTTGAAGTCAGGTAGTGAGATGCCTCCAGCATTGTTCTTTTTGCTTAGGATTTTCTTGGCTATGTGGGCTCTTTTTTGGTTCCATATGAAATTTAAAGTAGATTTTTCTAATTCTGTGAAGAAAGTTGATGGTAGCTTGATGGGTATAGCATTGAATATATAAATTACTTTGGGCAGTATGGCCATTTTCATGATTTTGATTCTTTATTTTCATGAGCATGGAATGTTTTTCCATTTGTTTGTGTCCTCTCTTATTTCCTTGAGCAGTTGTTTGTAGTTCTCCTTGAAGAGGTCCTTCACATTGCTTGTAAGTTGGATTTTTAGGTATTTTATTCTCTTTGAAGCAATTGTGAATGGGAGTTCACTCACGATTTGGCTCTCTGCTTGTCTATTGTTGCTGTATAGGAATGCTTGTGATATTTGCACATTGATTTTGTATCCTGAGACTTTGCTGAAGTTGCTTATCAGCTTAAGGAGATTTTTGGCTGAGAGGATGGGGTTTTCTCAATATACAATCATGTCATCTGCAAACAGAGATAATTTGACTTCCTCTCTTCCTATTAGAATACCTTTATTTCTTTCTCTTGCTTGATTGCCCTGGCCAGAACTTCCAATACTATGTTGAATAGGCATGGCAAGAGAGGACATCCTTGTCTTGTGCTGGTTTTTGAAGGGAATGCTTCCAGTTTTTGCTCATTCAGTATGATATTGCTTGTGGGTTTCTCATGAATAGCTCTTATTATTTTGAGATACATTCCATCAATACCTAGTTTATTGAGAGTTTTTAACATGAAAGGGCATTGAATTTTATCCAGGGCCATTTCTCTCTTGAGGTAATCGTGTGGTTTTTATCATTGGTTCTGTTTATATGATGGATTACGTTTATTGATTTGTGTATGCTGAACCAGCCTTGCATCCCAGAGGTGAAGCTGACTTGATCGTGGTGGATAAGCTTTTTGATGTGCTGCTGGATTCAGTTTGTCAGTATTTTATTGAGGATTTTTGCATCACTGTTCATCAGGGATATTGGCCTGAAATGTTCTTTTTATGTTTTATCTCTTCCACGTTTGGGTATCAGGATGATGCTGGCTTCATAAAATGAGTTAGGGGGAGGAGTCCCTCTTTTTCTATTGTTTGGAATAGTTTCAGGAAAATTGGTACTAGCTCCTCTTTGTACTTCTGGTAGAATTCGGCTGTGAATCTGTCTGGTCCTGGACTTTTTTTGGTTGGTAGGCTATTAGTTACTGCCTCAATTTCAGAACTTGTTATTGGTCTATTCGGGGATTTGACTTCTTCCTGGTTTAGACTTGGGAGAGTGTATGTGTTCAGGTATTTATCCATTTCTTCTAGATTTTCTAGTTTATTTGTGTAGATGTGTTTATAGTATTCTCCGATGGTAGTTTGTATTTCTGTGGTATTAGTGGTGATATCCCCTTCATCATTTTTTGTTGTGTCTATTTGATTCTTCTCTCTTTTCTTCTTTATTAGCCTAGCTAGTGGTCTATTTTGTTGGTCTTTTCAAAAAACCAGATCCTGGATTCATTGATTTTTTTTTGAAGGGTTTTGTGTGTCTCTATCTCCTTCAGTTCTGCTCTGATCTTAGCTATTTCTTGCCTTCTGCTAACTTTTGAATTTGTTTGCTCTTGCTTCTCTAGTTCTTTACATTGTGATGTTAGGGTGTCGATTTTAGATTTTTCCTGCTTTCTCTTGTGGGCATTTAGTGCTATGAATTTCCCTCTAAACACTGCTTTGGCTGTGTCCCAGAGATTCTGGTACATTGTGTCTTTGTTCTCATTGGTTTCAAATAACTTATTTATATCTGCCTTAATTTCATTATTTACTCAGTAGTCATTCAGGAGCAGGTTGTTCAGTTTCCATGTGGTTGTCCGGATTTGAGTGAGTATGTTAATCTTGAGTTCTAATTTGATTGCACTGTGGTCTGAGAGACTGTTTGTTATGATTTCCATTCTTTTGCATTTGCTGAGGAGTGTTTTACTTCCAATTATGTGGTCAATTTTAGAATAAGTGCAATGTGGTGCTGAGAAGAACGTATATTCTGTTGATATGGGGTGGAGAGTTCTGTAGATATCTATTAGGTCTGCTTGGTCCAGAGCTGAGTTCAAGTCCTGAATATCCTTGTTAATTTTCTGTCTTGTTGATCTGTCTAATACTGACAATGGGATGTTAAAGTCTCCCACTATTACTGTGTGGGAGTCTAAGTCTCTTTGTAGGTCTCTGAGAACTTGTTTTATGAATCTGGGTGCTCCTGTATTGGGTGCATATATATTCAGAATAGTTAGCTCTTCTTGTTGAATTGTTCCCTTTACCATTATGTAATGTCCTTCTTTATCTTTTTAGTATTACCAGTGGAGACTGCAGAACAGTAAAGATTGCTGTCTGTTCCTTCCTCTTGGAAGTTTTGTCCCAGAGGGGCACCCACCAGATACCAGCTGGAGCTCTCCTGTATGAGGTGTCTGAAGGCCCTGCTGGGAAGTGTCTCCCAGTCAAGAGACACAGAGGTCAGGAACCCACTTGAGGCAGTCTGACCCTCAGCAGAGCTCAAACCCTGTGCTGGGGGATCCGCTGCTTTTTTCAGAGCCAGCAGGCAGGGACATTTAAATCTGCTGAAGCTGCACCCACAGCTGCCCCTTTCCCCAGGTACTCTGTCCCAGGGAGATGGGAGTTTTATCTAAAAGCCCCTGATTGGAGCTTTTTTTTCAGAGATGCCCTGTCCAGGGTGGAGGAATCTAAAGAGGCAGTCTGACTACAGAGTCTTTGCTGAGCTGTAGAGGGCTCCACCTAGTTGAAACTTCCCCGTGCTGCTTTGTTTACATTGTGAGGGGAAAACCTCCTACTTAAGCCTCAGTAATAGTGGATGCCCCTCCCCCCACCAAGCTCAAGGGTCCCAGGTCGACTTCAGACTGCTATGCTGGCAGCGAGTGTTTCAAGCCATTGGATCTTAGCTTGCTGGGCTCCATGGGGGTGGGATCCACTGAGGTAGACCACTTGCCTCCCTGGCTTCAGGCCCCTTTCCAGGGGAGTAAACGGTTCTGTCTCGCTCGCATTCCAGGAGCCACTAGGGTATGAAAATAAACTCCTGCAGCTAGCTCAGTGTCTGCCCAAATGGCTGCCCAGTTTTATGCTTGAAACCCAGGGCCCTGGTGGCATAGGCACCGGAGGGAATCTCCTGGTTTGTGGGTTGCGAAGACCATGGGAAAAGCATAGTATCTGGGCCGGAGTGCACCATTCCTCACAGCACAGTTCCTCCCAGCTTTCCTTGGCTAGGGGAGAGAGTTCTGCGATCCCTTATGCTTCCTGGGTGAGGTGATGACCCACCCTGCTTCGGCTTCCCTCCATGGGCTGCACCCCTGTCTAACCAGTCCCAGTGAGATAAGCTGGGTACCTTAGTTGGAAATGCAGAAATCACCTGCCTTCTGTGTTGATCTCGCTGGGAGCTGCAGACCGGAGCTGTTCCTATTCAGCCATCTCGCCAGCCTCCATCTATAGTAGAACTTTTAAAGCTGTAATTTAATTGCTAAGATATAATAACAAGAACTAACATTCCTAGCTTTTCCCATGAGCTGGGTGCTGTTCCAAGTACATGTATACAGTATATGAACTCATTTAATTCAACAGCACTTTAAGGTAGGCAGTTATATTATCCCCCATTTTACATGAGGAAAGTGAGTCATGAAAGGGTTAAACTCACATTTTAGGTCCTATAACTTGTCCATGGATAAGCCAGGATTTACATCTAATCAGTCTGGCTCCATACCCTTAACTGCTAAGCTATATTATAATTAGGTTAAAAAAAAAAGATTTTGTTACTGTTTGCACATTATCCATATGGGGGCCTAGAAGATTTCCTTCATTCGTGGAAGATTGGGGGTACTCTGGCCAATGATGATGGTAGACCACTGGGTAATGAACTAAGCAGGAGAGCTGGATGATCCTAATGGTGAATGCCTTCAAAATATGCTTGTTCTGATATCAGATTCAGCAAGCAATACCCTGGAAGACTATGGTTTCATGTGTAGCCTCCCTACAGGAGAAAAATGGTGCATGCTGCCCCTCTCTATCACTACCCCCTGCCTACAGGCTGAGTCCAAGCTTCCCACATTCATAGCCTTCGCTGATATGGTATGTAACTTTCCACTTTGGCTTCCATCACTTGCATCCTACTCTCAGGTCATACTAAACTTGTTTCCACAATGAGTTGCTCCTGGAGTGGGCAGGCCATTTTGTGCTTCCATAGCTTTGTGAGTGCTGTTCTTTCTATTTGAAGTGTGTTTTCTCACCATCTCCATCTGACAAACTCCTACCTACCCTTCAAGACCCAGCTGAAGTAGCTGCTCACTCTCAAATGTCCCCTGATTCCTTCAAGCAGGGTTAGCCTCTCTTTGGTGTCACTGAGGTCCCTAATCTTGGAGTTTTGCACTCATTTCTTGCTTTGTATGCAATTTGTTTGCATGCTTGTCTCTGCTAACAGACTGTTAGCTCCTAAGGGAAAGAGACAATTATTTATATTTCATATTCATACACTATCTAGCACATAATGAAATGAAGCATTGAATGAATGATTGAAAGAACAAACCTAATATATTGAATATTATCACTAATTAGAAGATTTGTTGAAAATAAATTGGTGCCTATATTATATATCAGTCTCTTGTCAAGTTGGGCAGTGTGAATCCACCCTAGAAATTTTATCACCTCTAGGTATTGAGAAAAATGTGAAGATCCAAATCTGTAAAACTGAGACTAAACTCTAGAAAAGAGTGATTCTGATAGTCTGCTCTGAGCAGTTAGCCAGACTCCTAGCCTGACATTTCTTCTCTTTGAACACAAAGACAGTCTTCCCAGAGGGGTGACAGTAGACTGACTGCCATGTGTAATAGTCCTAAATTGTAGTTTTTAGATGTTTTTATAGAAGAATATTATTGCTAGTAAATAGATTTAGAATCAACAAGCATTTATTGAGCACCTGAGCTATGTGCTGAGTGCTTCTCATATACATTCTCCAACTGATATTTACCTGATGTGATTTGATTTCATCTGACCTGATTTTCACACCACCCTGTGAAATATGGCCAACTATTTTCATTTTTGAAATGGAAAATCTGGGACTCAGAATAATTAAGAGACTTACTCAAGGTGATACAAGAAGTAAGCAAAAGACCTGGTGTTTGAGTCTAGACATTCTGACTCCCAGCCCAGTGTTTTTTCTACCATCACCGAGCAAAGTGTTCTTAACAAAAAAGTGAATTTTACTAATTTGCTTGGTTAAGACAAGGCCCTGTGTCTCCTACATCAGGGCGTTTTGTATATTAAAATCAAGAATGAGTCACAGCCTTTGGGCAGGGTCTACCAGATAAGACTAAATCTAAGAATCTGTTATAGAAGACATCCGTGTGCTCTGGCCCAGTCACTCCAATCCTCCTCTCTTCAATCTTTCTCTCCTGTTCTTCCCGTATGGTTCCCAGAAGGAGCTGCCCACATTAGCAGCCTCTGCTTCCTCAACTTCCATCCACTCCTCAGTGTCTTGAAATCTGGATTTTATTCCTGTTAGTCAGAATGGCAGTTATTAAAAAGGCAAGAAACAACAGATGCTGGCGAGGTTGTGGAAGAATAGGAACACTTTTACACTATTGATGGGAATGTAAATTAGTTCAACCATTGTGGAAGACAGTGTGGCGATTTCTCAAAGATTTAGAACTGGAAATATCGTTTGACCCAGTAATCCCATTACTGGGTATATACCCAAAGGAATGTAAATCATTCTATTATAAAGATACATGCACACTTATGTTCACTGCAGCACTGTTCACAATAGCAAAGATGTGGGATCAATCCAAATGCCCATCAATGATAGACTGGGTAAAGAAAACGTGGTACATATACACTGTGGAATACTATGCAGCCATAAAAAGGAATGAGATCATGTCCCTTGCAGGAACATGGGTGACGCTGGAAGCCATTATCTTCAGCAAACTAATGCAGGAACAGAAAACCGAACACCACATGTTCTCACTTATAAGTGGGAGCTGAACATTGAGAACACATGGATACAGAGAGGGGAACAACACACACTGGAACCTATTGGGGGAGGGTGGGGTTGGGTGGGGAGAGCATTAGGGAAAAGAGCTAATGCATGCCAAGTTTAATACCTAGGTGATGGTTTAATAGGTGCAGCAAACCGCCATGGCACACGTTTACCTATGTAACAAACCTGCACATTCTGCACATGTACCCTGGAACTTAAAAAATTTAAGAAATAAAATACAAGTATTTTTCTCTCTCATTCTTGTTTCACAAAGGGAGAAAGTAACTCTTTCTTACCTCACTGGGATAAAGCTTAACTAAGAAGGAAACTTCACTCTTCTTTCCTCTTCTTGCTGGATGGATAGACTTGTCTAGTTGATGGGATTGGAAAAAGGCTGAAGTCTAC
This sequence comes from Homo sapiens, assembly GCF_000001405.40. NCBI lineage: Eukaryota > Metazoa > Chordata > Mammalia > Primates > Hominidae > Homo > Homo sapiens. Next base: position 34,394,222 of record NC_000022.11, read on the forward strand.
TTGCTGAATTCTTTTCCCCTAGTCTTTCAGGCTTATCTGTTCATCCATGCTTTACATTTATTTGGGCATATTCTCTGCAAACCAAGAGGACTACATTTGGGGAAGAGGCGGGTGAAGTTTCGAGGGGGAGGGAAAATTAACAAGCTTATTTGACCACACATCTAAGCTGCGTTTTGCTTTCCATCTGATTTTTGTGTCTGAATTTCTCAGTTGGTTCTGACCACAGACTGGAAAGAGGGCTCCTATTAACTGACTCCCTCAAACTGACCACATTCAATTGTAGTCACTCTTCTCAAGGTCATCTGTGACTTCCCAACTGCCACTTCCCAATGGCTCTTTTCAGTCTTCACCTTGCCTGATATCTCAGCAGCGTTTGACAGTCATGACCATCTCCTTCCATGTTGAAATTTCTCTCTTCTGTGTCTTTGCTTTCCTGGCCCATTCTCTCCTTGGCATCTTGTATCTGCTCTGCCTCCTCCTCCTTTCTTTAAATCTTAGATTCTTGGCATGCACACCTAACTCCTTCTATCAGTCTGTAAGTTTTTCTTAAGCCATCACACATGCTTCTGTGGCGTTAACTACCACCTCTAGTCTGATCATGACCACCTTTATGTCTCCCCGATATAGAGACATGTCTATGCATCTACTTACTAGACATCTCCATTTTGATGTTCCATGAACACCACAATTTCAAAAATGTCCTAAGCGAAACTTACCATCTTTCCCATTAAACCTACTCTCCTATGATGACTGACTCATTTCATACCATCACCAGTCCCTGGAGTCAGAAGCCTGGGAGTTATTCTTGATTCTGTCCTCTCCCTCAGCAATACATTCAATCAGTTACCCATCTGGCCAATTTTATCTTACAAATATATTTTAATTAATTCCCTTCTCTCATCCCTACTAGCAGTCTGCCTTAATTCAACATGTTATTATCTCTCACCTGAATTATTGCTCTGGATTTCTATTTTCTATACCCAGGTTCACCTCAAATAGATCATCCATGCAGGCACCAAAGATCTTTCTGATATAAAAAAATAAGGCCATGACATTCCTGTTAGGGTTCTTCCGTGGTTCCCTAAAAACTACAGGATCAGGTACATGCTTTTTAGCACATGCCACATACCTTCAGGATATTATCCCCTCAATGACTTCATTTCTGCCTCATACTTTATACTCTAGTAAAACAAATTTTTTCATTATCTCTCCATGTATTACGCTGCTTGTCTTATTTCTTTACCACAAAATGGCCTTCCCACATTCTTTTGCTTGGATAATGCCCACTTTGCCTAGTGATCACCTCCTTCAGAAAGAATTCCTGGAATGCCTCCTTGGGCTGGGTTTGATTCCACTCTTCTGGTCCTCCAGCTCATCTGGACTCGCCCCATCATTCCATTCCTCATGCTGCACTCACTTTCCTGCTTGGCTTCTTGGAATGACAAGGACAATGAGTTACTCGTTTTCACACCCTCAAATCCTAGCACAGGGCCTGGCACAGAGTAGGGAATCTGCAAAGTTTAATATAATAGCATTGAGCCGGGTGTGGTGGCTTATGCCTGTAATCCCAGTACTTTGGGAGGCTGAGTTGGGTGGATCACTTCAGGTCAGGAGTTCAAGACCAGCCTGGCCAACATGGTGAAACCCCCTCTCTACTAAAAATACAAAAAATAGCTGGGCGTGGTGGTGGCCACGTGTAATCTCAGCTACTCAGGAGGTTGAGGCAGGAGAATCGCTTGAACCCAGGAGGCGGAGGTTGTAGTGAGCTGAGAGATTGTGCCACTGCACTCCAGCCTGGGTGACAGAGTGAGACTCCATCTCAAATAACAGAACAAATAAATAAGCAACAACAGTGCACTTGCGCCCTCTCGCGCTCTCTCACGCTCTCACGGGCTCTCTCTCTCTCTATATATATATAGCATTGGGCGATGATGTGTGATGTTTAGAGAATGAGAATAAAGTATCGCAACAGAATCAATGAATTAATTAAGATACAGACAAAAGCAGGGATGCTGTTTCCCTAGCCTTGGAGCATGGATCAACAGATAAGACTAAATCCAAGAGGCTTGTATAAAAAATATGCACATATGTTGGTCAAATCAATCTAACCCATTTTCTCCAATCTCAATCTCTCTCTCTCTCTCTCCCCTTCCCTGTCTCTCCCTCCCCTTGCCTGTCTCTCCCTCCCCTTCCCTCTCTCTCCCTCCCCTTCCCTCTCTCTCCCTCCCCTTGCCTCTCTCTCCCTCCCCTTCTCTCTCTCTCCCTCCCCTTCCCTTCCCTCTCTCTCCCCTTCCCTCTCTCTCTCTCCCCTTCCCTCTCTCTCTCCCCTTCCCTCTCTCTCTCTCCCCTTCCCTCTCTCTCTACCCGTCCGTCTCTCTCTCCCTCTCTCTCTCTCTCTCCCTCTCTCTCTCTCTCTCTCTCTCTCTCTCTCTCTCTCTCTCTCTCTCTCTCTCTCCCTCCCTCTCTCTCTCCCTCTCTCTCTCTCTCTCCCTCTCTCTCTCTCTCTCTCTCCTTCCCAGCTGCCCTTAGGGCATGTCTGGGTGAACTAAGATTATCCAGCATTAACCCTTGGGTAATGAGATACTAACAATAAGATCTCGCCTTCCGGATAACCTTTGTTTGCTGAAGTTCTTTTGTATTTAAATTCTTCCCTGGGGTAGTGAAGTGGAGATGTGGGACCAGGGTGAGGCAGAACAAGGGAGAGAAGCTGGTATGACTGGATAGGATGAGCCCAGTGAGCTTCAGCTTTCCTCCATCTCAAGTGTCCACCAAGAGCTTTTAGCATCAGTGACTGCCCAGGCTACCTCTGCTCCTGTGACTGGTCATTCCAGAGAGTTCTATCTTCCTGACCTTTCTATTTCAGGACTTGAAGCTGCCCTGCAGGCTCTCAGGGGAAACCTCAGCCCCCTAGTCTTTGGCACCTTGCCCATTTCTGCTTGCCCTGTAACCTGGCTTCATAACCCTTATTGTTTTCTCTTATGTTTGCATATAACTCCTTAGGTTTCAAAGCACTTCCATGTGTTGCCCTTTTTTTGTTTGTTTTTGAGTCGAAGTCTCACTCTGTCACCCACACTGGAAGGCAGTGGTGCCATCTCGGCTCACTGCAACCTCCACCTCCCGAGTTCAAGCGATTCTTCTGCCTCAGCCTCTTGAGTAGCTGGGATTACAGGCACCCACCACTGCACCTGGCTAATTTTTGTATTTTTAGTAGAGACGGGGTTTCACCTTGTTGGCCGGGCTGGTCTCAAGCTCCTGGCCTCCTAATCTGCCCACCTCGGCCTCCCAAAGTGATGAGATTACAGGCATGAGCCATCACACCTGGCCCTGTTGCACTTCTTTTAATCCTCCCAGTAGTTCTGGGAGTGAGTAGATCATATCTGAGGCTATGTATCTGGTAACAGAGGGGAGTCCAGACTTCAAGTCAGGTCTCATCATTCCAAAGGCTGTCTCTTTCTAGTACTCGCTGTGGGAGGGAAACTCAAGAATGGATCTCATACTCATCTCTCAGCTATTTATGAACACTGGAGGACCAGCACCAACCTTTACTACCCCTAAGTTAAATGTCAGACATCTCTGTATTTTTATAAAAATTTTCACTTTACAACATGATTTCCAAATACTATCTCCTCTAGTCCTAACAACACAGGAAAGGAAAAAGTATAGACATTTGTTCTTTCTCTCTATTGCACCCACTGCACCTTCTTTTCCTGTACCCCTGTTTTCATAAGAATATGCTCATCATCACTGGCCATCAGAGAAATGCAAATCAAAACCACAATGAGATACCATCTCACACCAGTTAGAATGGCGAACATTAAAAATTCAGGAAACAACAGGCGCTGGAGAGGATGTGGAGAAATAGGAACACTTTTACACTGTTGGTGGGACTGTAAACTAGTTCAACCATTGTGGAAGTCAGTGTGGCGATTCCTCAGGGATCTAGAACTGGAAATACCATTTGACCCAGCCATCCCATTACTGGGTATATACCCAAAGGATTATAAATCATGCTGCTATAAAGACACATGCACACATACGTTTATTGTGGCACTATTCACAATAGCAAAGACTTGGAACCAACCCAGATGTCCAACAATGATAGACTGGATTAAGAAAATGTGGCACATATACACCATGGAATACTATGCAGCCATAAAAAAGGATGAGTTCATGTCCTTTGTAGGGACTTGGATGAAGCTGGAAACCATCATTCTCAGCAAACTATCGCAAGGGCAAAAAACCAAACACCACATGTTGTCACTCATAGGTGGGAATTGAACAATGAGAACACATGGACACAGGAAGGGGAACATCACACTCTCGGGACTGTTGTGGGGTGGGGGGAGGGGGGAGGGATAGCATTTGGAGATATACCTAATGTTAAATGATGAGTTATTGGGTGCAGCACACCAACATGGCACATGTATACATATGGAACTAACCTGCACGTTGTGCACATGTACCCTAAAACTTAAAGTACATAAAAAAAAGAAACAAACAAAAAAAAGAATATCCCATTCTCCTCGCCAAAGTGATTTGTTTAGGGATATAGACATAATGGTCCAAGATGGACAACTTGGAATCTTCTACAGGCTTTCTGCTGGAATTTTTACTTAATTCCATTGGAAATAACCTTTGAATCTAGGATTCCTGTGAGATGGAATTTCTGCCCTCTTTTCTTTCACGTGGAAAGACCCTACCCACGAACTGGCAAGAGTAGTAGAATCTCCGCTATTTTGACTGAATCCCAGGATCTGGTCTTGTCTGACTTTGGTAGTATTTTTCTAGACATTTAGATGATGTGAATCAGTAAGTTGATAAATTCCTTTTTTTCCTTAGGTTTGATTAGGTTGTGTTTCTCTCACTTGTACCTAAAGTACTTAAGTATCTATCTAACAGAGATAAGACACTGATACTATGTAAATCTATAAAGAGTTCATAGCTTTTGATATGGTTTGGATGTTGGTCCCCTTCAAACCTCATGTAGAAATGGAATCCCCAATGTTGGAAGTAGGGCCTGGTGATAGGTGTTTGGGCCATCGAGGCAGATCTGTCTTGAATGGTTTTGTGATTTCTCGTGGTCATGAGTGAGTTCTTGCTCTGAGTTCACGGGAGATCTAGTTGTTTTAAGAGTGTGGCACTTACCCTGCCCCTTGCTCACACTCTCGCTGTGTGATGTGCCTGTTCCCCCTTTGCCTTCTGCCATGATTGTGAGCTTCCTGAGGCCACACCAGAAGCAGGTGCTGGCACGATGCTTCTTACACAGTCTGCAGAATGTTGAGCCAAAATAAACTTCTTTTTAAAAAATAAATTACTCAGTCTCAGGTATTTCTTTATAGTAATGCAGAACAAACTAACATAGCTTTAGAGTAGTATAAATGATGTTGAAAAAAACAATTCTTTTTCAGAGTAAGAATACACACAGCCGGGTGCTGTGGCTTACACCTGTAATCCCAGCAGTTTGGGAGGCCGAGGCTGGTGGATCACGAGGTCAGGAGATCGAGACCATCCTGGCTAACATGGTGAAACCCCATCTCTACTAAAAAAATAATAATAATAATACAAAAAATTAGCCGGGCATGGTGGCGGGTGCCTGTAGTCCCAGCTACTCGGGAGGCTGAGGCAGGAGAATGGCGTGAACCCAGGAGGCAGAGTTTGCAGTGAGCTGAGATCGCGCCACTGCACTCCAGCCTGGGCGAAAGAGCAAGACTCTGTCTCAAAAGAAAAAAAAAAATACACACACACACACAGACGCACTCATTCATGGTGACCAGCTCAAGCCACTGAGCCACGTACTTTGCCTAATGTGTCACGTGTAGCCTTTCTTGATTCATACCGGTGACCTTGAAATTGAGGAACTCTAGCTTCACTAGTCAACCTGGCCCAGAACCAGCATCGATCCAGTCCTCTGTTTCCTCCTTTCTCGTGTCTGTGCCTTTTCTGATTGGTTCAAAATTGGGTGGCTCCTCTCTCAAGGGCTCTTCAGCGACTTTAGCAGCCAAGTTGCTGTTGCTTATATCTGGTCCTTCCTGGACATCCAAGAACCCATTGATCAGGCAGTTCATTCATATTTCCTCTGCATCTCTGCTGTCTACGGATCTGCTTCCCAGCGACCTTGTAGAACCAGGGGGTGGGTTGCTTCAGAGCTTTAGAGGCAGTTTGTTTCAGGACAGGCGATGGCCTCACAAATATGTTTAAGGCTATGTGGAAAGCTGTATTTTCCAATTCAAGTTCAGGGCTATTTCTGCATAGGTGTCTAGACAGAAATTCTTTTGGAAAGTGGATACTGAAGTTGAACATTTTTTTTAAAATAAAGCGGGGCTTTCCTTTCAAGTCTATAGTTTATCTTTTTTGAGACAGTTTATTCTCCCTACCATCACACCAAGCAGAAGGTACCATTGAAAAATAGGCCCCTGACATCCTGACCTTTTTCTCAGCTCTAGTGCCGAACCACTTGCCAAAACTCACATTTTCTCTTTAGAGTCATGTATGATTTCCCTGTGCACTAAAGATACCCCATGCTCTGCCTTTTGCCAGCTTGTTTATCTGTTCACTTTTCATTCTATTCCACCTGTACCTTTAGGGTTTCTGACATGATCTGAGTACATCCTGATATGTTAAAACAAAAAGGGCTAAGCTAGAACCCTCAACAGTAGCCTTTCGGTTTATCTTTGCACTGTTGGTTGTGTTTCATTTTGGTACTTCCTGTTCCAGTAGTTGCTACTGTTCTGGTTTTGAGAAAAGTTCTCAGGTTTCTTCCTCAGTAGGAATTTGGATTGTGCCTCTGGCTAGCCTGTTCTCCCTGGCTGGTCCCTACATACCCCATCAATTCCAGCCCCAGCACCTTGTATTTGCTTAGGTTCCCTGGAGTAGTTGTTCTCATTCTGTTCAGCACAGCCTGCATCTCATTATTCCTTGGAGAGAAGAATTCCTGAATGTTGGCCTTAAGAATACCTATGGTGATAAGGTCAATATGTACATCACACAATGCAACCTATACACTTCCATGTACATTGCACATGTACATCACACATTACAACCTTTACACTTCCATGTACATCACACATTGCAACCTGTACACTCTTACCTTTATTATTACATTTTATCCTCAAAACCATCCACCGAGATAAGACTTCTCATTCCCTTTTTGTATACGAGAAAAATTAAAAAAAAATTGATTCATTTGCGTTCAACATGCCAGATACGTGTTAGGCAGTGGAGATACAAATATAAAGTAAATCATCAGCTCACCATTACTATAAAACAGTGCCACAGGAGTTCAGGAGGCTATGGCTCTGTTTGGGGCTGAAGTTGGCTGGTCTATAGGGGGCAGAACATGAACTGAGTCTTGAAGAATGGTTAGTGAATAATGAGGAAGAGCTCGTTGGGAAATCAAAGGTGACAAGAAGATTGGGAGAAAGCAGCTGTATCATATCAGGGTAGTTACAGAACAAGGCTTAGCAGTCAGCAGGTGTCCTGGTATTTGAGGAAGCTTTCAAAAAGTTTCAAGATGAGGTAACTGAGGTTCTAGGTGAGAGAACAGCTGAAGGATAGCTGGAAAGTTGTCAATGCTGTCATTTCTGCCCTGAGAGCTATAGGCCATAGCCTGGACTCCTTCCTCTTCCTTGCTTTTCACTGTCAGCTAATAAATTCAGTTCATTCTATCTCCTATCTCCCTCATCAGTATCCTTCTGCTGCCCCACATAGCCACTTCTTTAATTCAAGTTCTTCTTACCTTGACTAATGCAATAACATTCTGTTTCTCTTCCTATCTCCTCTAAGCTTTTTCCACCCAGTCATCAGCAATCATTCTAAATTGTGGTTAAAAGCGCAGACTTTGGAGTGTGGCAGGTCTGAATTTCAATTTTTTATTTCTATCAATTATAAGCTGTGTGACTTTGGACAGGATGCATAGCCTCTCTGATGCTAAGTCGCCTCACCTTTCCATGGGGTAATGACACACATGCCCTGAGTGTAAACAGGAATAAGGTACACCTCGACTCCTCCTCATCGAGGCTGCCTCCACCCACCCCCTTCTTAGCTTCCCACAGGATGTGAATGTGGAAAAAACCTCCAATTAACTGTTCAAAGCATTCTGGTTGGTTAGAGTTTAAGACATGGACTTTGCCATGTTTGTGAGTAGATAGAGTTACTGTTTCTTAAAAGTCTGGTCCCCTGTATGGCTGCAATTTGGTGCTTTCCACCTCAGATCTAGGTGGGGCTTGGACTCTCTTCCCCGAAGGTATGAGAAGGGAGGGTCCTAACATCTATGTTGCAAGGAGTGGGTGTCTTAGTCCATTTGCATTGCTATAAAGGAATACCCAAGGCTAGGTAATTTATAAAGGAAAGAGGTTTATTTGGCTCATGGTTCTGCAGACTGTACAAGAAGTGTGGCGCCAGCATCTGGTTCTGGTGAAGGCCCCAGGGATCTTCCACTCATGGTGCAAGGTGAAGGGAAGCAGGCATCACAAGGTGAGAAAGGAAGAGAGAGGAAAAGGTATCAGGCTCATTTCAACAACCATTTATCATGGGAATTATTGTAAGAGTGAGAACTCACTCACTGTGAGAATGAGACCAAGCCATTCATGACTGATCTGCCCCCACTACCCTAATCCCTCTCACCAGGCTCCTACCTTCAACGCTGGGGATCAAAATTCAACATGAGACTTGTCAAGGCCAAACAAACTGTAGCAGTGGTTATGAGGTTAGGGATGTACTACTTCAGCCTTAAATCTAGCCTCATGCTCCTCCAACTACCTAGAGTCCTGTTGCTATGCCACAGGGTCACCCAGAAATGAACATGGTATTCTGATTTCCATTTTTCTATTATGTCTTACAAAATATTATGTCTTACTATTATAATTTCCGTTTTCTTGTTATGTCTCTTTGAAGCCCTATAGAGTTCTACAATCTTTCTTCATCTGGCTTCAAACTTACTCCATTCTCATTTTCCATCTGTCAACCCCATACCCGCTATGCTCTAGCCATACTGAAGAACCTAATGGTTACTTGGCCCCTCATGATGGTGTAGGCATCCGTGTCTTGGCACATGTTTAGGCTTGGGGTGAACCTGCTCTCTGTTCTCTTTCTTTGTTTGTTTTTTGATCGGATTGAAGGTGTCTGGCAGTCTCATGCTGAATCTTAAAATACACACTTCACATTCTGCCTTCCCTGAGAGGCCTTTTCTGATCATGCCAAGCAGAATTAACTAATCTCCTCTATGTCAGCACTCTAACTTGTACAGTTTGTACAACTGTAAGATTGTTTTACCTAATCATGTTTTCCACACTTAATTTTGTTTTTTAGAGGGTACTCTGTTGCCCAGGTTTGAGAAAAGTGGTACTATCGCAGCTCGTTGTAGTCTCAGACTCCTGGGCCAAAGCAATCCTCCCACCTCAGCCTCTCGAGTAGCTGGGACTACAGGTGCATGCCACCATACCTGGGTAATTTTTAATTATTTTGGAGAGACAGCGTCTCACTATGTTGCTCAGACTGGTCTCAAACTCCTGGCCTCAAGCAATCCTCCTGTCTCAGCCTCCCAGAGCACTGGGATTATGGGCATGAGCCACTGTGCTCAGCCCCATATTTGATTTTATGTCTGTCTACTCTGTGAATAGGCTGAATAGGCATTATTGATCTGTGAATTCTGCTGAATAGGTGTTATTGATCACAAGGAAAATGTTTTATATGAGATAAGAAAAAATTATCAATATTAGTTAATGGAAATACAATCAAATACGTGAATGAATATATAAAAAAGTATCTGGGCAGATGGAGCATCAGAAAATAAGGAAGAGGAGTTGCTGCAGGTTGACATTCTTATGATCACAAAAGTGAGATCAGCTGTGTATGTGCATAGACTTTGCCGAATGGAGCAGGAGGTGTAGATATAATAAAGCCGTATCCTGGTAATAGAGTCCCATCTTATGATAACGGTATTGAAATAAGGAACACATCCATATGTTAATCAATTAAATCATAACTAGAGGTAAGCAACCACTATTCTGACGAGCTCCATTTCAGAGGCAGTTCTAGGGAGGTGTTCAGCAAAATTCAGGCAACAGAGAGGAAGCTCAGGAGGAGGAGAAAGTGAGCCAAATGTAAAGGAAGTAACACAGAACCACATTTTCAGGATCTTCTTGGGTAAACCACTGACTTTAGTTGTGATTAGTATAAATAATCAATAAGCATTTTGTGAAGCTTTATACCACAAACATATTACCTGGCAGCACCACTGTGGGAGGCACCTGGGGTGGGTAGAACCCCCTTCTCCTCAATGTCCATGAAAGTTGCTTGCAAACACCGCATGTTCTCACTCATAGGTGGGAATTGAACAATGAGAACACCTGGACACAGGAAGGGGGAACGTCACCCACCGGGGCCTGTCATGGGGTAGGGGGAGTGGGGAGGGATAGCATTAGGAGATATACCTAATGTAAATGACGAGTTAATGGGCGCAGCACAGCAACATGGCACATGTATACATATGTAAGAAGCCTGCACGTTGTACACATGTACCCTAGAACTTAAAGTATAATTTAAAAAAAAGTTGCTTGGCTTGGAGGCATTGCTCTGGCGTGGAATTGTTTTCTCTCCCAGCCTCCTGCTTTTAGGCAGGAATATCTGGCCTCTCAGAAAAGTTAGAGGGAACTGTATAGGTGAGTCAAACATTTTTATTTTCACATTTCTAACTTAGCTCAAAGTTTGGCTCAGAATAGGTGCTAAAAACAACAACAAACTAGGACTAGATGAATGATAGACCAAAACTCCAAGTGTCATGAGACAAACATAAAAATATATCCACCATTTATAGAACTCTGCTAATTGTCAAGGACAGTATAAAATGCTTTATACCTATTAACTTACTTAGCTATTCTCATTTAAGACTCAAAGTGAGAATTTTTGTAGAATAGATTATTATTTCTGTTTTGTGGATAGGAAAAATGAGGGTCCCAAAGGCTATGTAACTTGTTCAAGGCCAGGAAAACAGCAAGTGGTAGAGCTAGCATTCAAATTAGGTCTATGTGCTCCCAAGCCCATGTTATATCAATAACTACAAGGATGATATTATCACAGTAATACAATGTGGATAGGATGATATAAACTTGGGGATGAGTTTCAAGCTGATGACCAAGAGAAACTCATATTCAGCTCCCATTCTATTTTGCTTCTGCATTACCTATCCAAGAGAGTTGACTGGATACTGCTTGCCATGAACAACAAGCCAATCTCAGAACTGCTTGTACTCTGAAATAGACGGTTGATATGTTCTCTCATACGTGCAACACCATGTGTAGAAAAAAGTGGCCAAAGTGTTTTTAGGCTGCATTATTGTTGATTATCAGAGCAGATGTTGGAACTTAGAAGATCTGAATTAAAATAGTGCCTCTGCTGTGGGGTTGGGTGGGTTATTTTCCTTCTCTGAGCCTATGTCTTTATTGAGCAAATGAGTATAATAGTATCTACCTCATGGTATTGGTGAACAGATTCAAATTGGATGAATATACATATGGCATAGTTGAATGTACTATGTATCCTTGTAAATGTTCAATATAAGCTATTATTATTATGTTATATTTGAGATGCATGTTGATGTCCATAACAGGTGAAAGAGAGACATATTTAGGAAATGCTAATGAAAAATCAAGATTTCAAAAAAATTTGCATTCATAGAATAGTGAAAACTACACAAATGATGAGACTGAGAAAATTGCATGGAAAAATACTGAAGGTAAATATCAAAATTTAAGAGCTCACCTTTATAAAAAGGTATATTTCTTTTCACTCTTCTGTATTTTCTAAATCTTCTATGATTAGCAGGTAACATTTTATTAATGGGAAAATTTAATTTTGTGTAAATTTTTTTTTTTTTTGAAACAGGGTCTCACTCTGTGGCCCAGGCTGGAGTGCAGTGTTGCCATCTCAGCTCATTGTAACCTCTGTCTCCTGGGTTCAAGTGATTCTCCTGGCTCAGCCTCCCAAGTAGGTGGGATTACAGGCATGCACCGCCAAATCTGGCTAATTTTTGCATTTTTAGTAGAGACGGGGTTTCACCATGTTGGCCAGGCTCATCTGGAACTCCTGACCCCGGGTGATCTGCCTGCCTCAGTCTCCCAAAGTGCTAGGATTACAGGGATGAGCCGCCACACCCAGCCCAATTAATTTTTAAAAACGATATGCTTAAGTTACCTTAATCCTCAAAGGAAATGAGTAGAAACATTTGAAAAAGTTTTCGCCAGCACAATGCCAGTTTGACTGAGTGTCAGCAAATTTTCCTGGCAAATAGTTCACTGAGTCTTGCATGCTCCTGAAGGCACTTCTAACTGAGGTAGGGGAGATGACAATATTTCGGACCCCAGGCCAGCACTTCCTGAGGGCCCTGGAAGGCCAGCAAATACAAATTCATCGTTCTACTCAATCCTCTGTAATTGACCTAAAAATTCTTGGGGCTCTGATGGAGGCTGGCTGGGTGCCACATCCTTCTCCTTACATGGGTGAGTCAAGGAAGCCAAGCTACCAGAGTGGGAACAGTCCTGCTTTATCAGCACTGATGGCTAGAGCAGTCATTAATTAGACAGATTAGCTTAAATACAGTAGTTAGTTAATTGCAAGTTTGACACAGAATTCCCTGTGTCACAGCATGCAGTTTGGAAGCAGAGCCGAACAGTGGGGAGCTTTCCAGGCTCATTGTAAATGCACCAAGGGGAAATTAATATACGGCAAGGGTTTGAGGCCCGGGGGTGGCCCATTCTGGTTTTGAAGTCCTAGTTTAGCTTGGCTTGAATTCTGAATGGCTCTTTCAGAGAGTTTGGGTTGGTTGTATAGGAAGGCTTGCTGGAGGTGGTGATGCCAGACACAAATTCTGAGAGTTGAGTAGGAGAGAGCCAGGTAGATGATTTAGAAGACTTTTGAGATCATAAGGATCAGTCAGAAATTCAGATGCAAAAGAGGCATTTGGGGAATAACAGGTGGATCGGAAGGATAGGTATAGAGTATGGTAGAGGAGAAGCTGGGAGAGGTGAGAATAGCATAAGAAGGTAAAAAGAAAACAAGATATGCAAGAGTGAAAGAGTAAGAGGAGTAAGAGAGTGATGCAGTCAATGTTTCAGGGGCAGTCAGAGGAGAGAGAAGTCTCTGCATGAGGGTAAGGCAGGGTAGGGGAGATTTCACAGAGGTCTCAGGAGTCCAGCTAGGAATGGAAAATATCATTCATTCACTCATTATTTTTTTTCACTTTTTCCACAAATAGAAATTAAGCATCTGCCAGAGCCTAGCATTGTCCTGTTATAGTCAAAGCAGAAGAGAAGGAGAAAGATTAAAATGTAGATTATGATGACACATTGTGATTAGAGCTAAAATAAAATTTTGTGCAAGATGATAATAGGCAAAGGGAGGATAGAGGAAGTTAGTAAAGACTTCATAGGGAATGGAGGGTTTATATATGGTTTGAAAGGATGAGTTGAAGCTTGACAGAGATGAAGGGAGGACATAGCAAGTAGAGGAGAGGAGCAAGACAGCCTTTGGGGAGGGAAGAACAATCACAAGTAGATGGAAGGTGGATGGAGGGATGATGAAGAAAAGGGAAGTAGGGCTGAGATGGGAAGAGCTTAGATTCCTGAGTTAGGAATAATTTGGAAATAATTCTGTAGATTGGTGGCCTTGATGATCTTTTGATTGTGTACATTATCAGTTAATAACTTGCAGCCTATATTCCCAATACTCATTTGTCCATTCATCCAACAAAACGTTACTGAGCATCTATTATATACAACACTGCTTCATTTATGTATAGACCAGGATAGATATTTCCAGATATTATGTATGGAAAGTTCTTTATCTTTTTGACACATTTTCATATTTTATATATGTACATGCATATGTAAAATATAATTATATATAAAATTTATATATGTAATAGACATATATACATAATAGACATATATATATACACATATATATATATGTCTATCATGTATTTTCTGTATCCATAATTCAGAACAGTTCCTTGAAGATTTGTATTTTATGTATTCATAATTCAGAAGAGGTCCTTGAAGATTTGTCTAATATATATGCATATATTTATATCTATTTTATATGTATGTATACATATATATAATTGTATGATTCTACCCTTTTTATTTATTTTTTATTATTATACTTTAAGTTTTAGGATACATGTGCACAACGTGCAGGTTAGTTCCATATGTATACATGTGCCATGTTGGTGTGCTGCACCCATTAACTCATCATTTAGCATTAGGTATATCTCCTAATGCTATCCCTCCCCCCTCCCCCCACCCCACAACAGTCCCCGGTGTGTGATGTTCCCCTTCTGGTGTCCATGTGTTCTCATTGTTTAATTTCCACCTATGAGTGAGAACATGCGGTGTTTGGTTTTTTGTCCTTGCGATAGTTTGCTGAGAATGATGGTTTCCAGCTTCATCCATGTCCCTACAAAGGACATGAACTCATCATTTTTTATGGCTGCATAGTATTCCATGGTGTATATGTGCCACATTTTCTTAATCTAGTCTATCATTGTTGGATGTTGGGTTGGTTCCAAGCCTTTGCTATTGTGAGTAGTGCCGCAATAAACATACGTGTGCATGTGTCTTTATAGCAGCATGATTTATAATCCTTTGGGTATATACCCAGTAATGGGATTGCTGGGTCAAATGGTATTTCTGGTTCTAGATCCTTGAGGAATCACCACACTGTCTTCCTAAGACCATAAAAACCCTAGAAGAAAACCTAGGCAATACCATTCAGGACATAGGCATGGGCAAGGACTTCATGACTAAAACACCAAAAGCAATGGCAACAAAAGCCAAAATTGACAAATGGGATCTAATTAAACTAAAGAGCTTGTGCACAGCCAAAGAAACTATCATCAGAGTAAACAGGCAACCTACAGAATAGGAGAAAATTTTTGCAATCTATCCATCTGAGAAAGGACTAATATCCAGAATATACAAATAACTTAAACAAATTTACAAGAAAAAACAAGCAACCCCATCAAAAAGGAGGCAAATGATATGAACAGACACTTCTCAAAAGAAGACATTTATGCGGCCAACAAACATATGAAAAAAAGCTCATCATCACTGGTCATTAGAGAAATGCAAATCAAAACCACAATTAGATACCATCTTATGCCAGTTAGAATGGCGATCATTAAAAAGTCAGGAAACAACAAATGCTGGAGAGGATGTGGAGATATAGGAACGCTTTTAACATTGTTGGTGGGAGTGTAAATTAGTTCAACCATTGTGAATTTTTATTTTTTTTATAGCAAGAACTCATGAATTTCACAAAGTGCTAAATAATATACAGGGAAAATGTATTCTCCTTCCATCCCAACTTCCAGTTCTTTTCCTCAGAATTGGCACTGTCAGTAGTTTGTTTTTTTTTCTTTTCATCCATAAAATTTACCAGAAACTTATAATTTAAAACTCATCACAGATCTCTGAGGGAGGTGATATTATTCTCAGTTTTGATGTGAGGAAAGCATTCATTGTGCCACTTTACGAAGGTGACTGAATCTCTGTGAATTTGAATGTCATTATGAAATACGAAAATTATAATAGTAACTATACTGTTGTACAGAGGAAATGCATAAAAAATGCTTAGCATAATGCGTGAGATATTTTAAATGTTTTCTAAATAATGATGATGCTAATATGACTATCATGGTATAATTAATAATTATCATTATCATTATTATTAATTATAATTAATATTTTATACAATCATTAATATATAACTATTGATACATAATTATATTTAGAATTATTAACAATTATAATTAATATTTCTCAAGGTCATTTAGAAACCTAGACTTAGTAGAGACTGCACTCAGAATACACATCCTCTGCATTTTTATATAAACAACAGCTGTACTTGTAAAAGGCTCCTGAGAAAAATTTCCGAAGATTCCTTCACTGTCTCAGACCACTGAAGCAGGCATGAGATAGCTGCTGTTAACACTTTTGTTTTCTGGGTATCTTGACCTTTTCTTGGCTTGGTTGGAGCTATCTTAAAAGAGTCAGGTGATAATTCCTCCTCCAAGAAGCCTCACCTGCTTACTCTGCTTTACCAAACTCCTCCCTTATTGGTGTACTTCTTGTCAGTACCACATTAGTCAGCATTCATGCGGTTAGGAAATGTAAAAGTAGATAAGAATTACGGGTTTTCTTGTACAAATGCATATTCCTGGGCGTGGCCCTAAACTACTGAATCTTAGGACTTCCAGGTAAGGCCCTGGGTTCACATTTTTAGCAAGCAGACTTGGTGATTTTCTGCAGGGGATCTAAGGACACTGTCTAAGCCAAACTGTTTCAATTTGACTCATGTTCTTTCAGATGTTCAAGAAACATGTAGAATACGTACTTTATTGTGAGCACTAAGGGAATGTAGATAGGTATAAGTAAGACACTATCAAGGACTTAGACTCAGGGTGGCAGAGGTGTAGGGATAATAGTAAAAAGGTAGTCAAAAGGCAATAAATGTGATGACAGGGTCAAGCACAGGTGTCCGTGGAAGCAGGCCTTGGAAAATGGTGGCCAGCAGTTTGGTTATTGCTTATTGCTTATGTAATACTCTGACAAGCGATTAATCCTAAGCTTTGTAGAGAGGATGTGGATGCACATCAAGAGGATTAAGGTAGAGAGGAGCTTGTATGTGTAACAGAGCACTGTCTGTGAGATCCATATTGTTCCCTCACCTACTATAGTAACCTGGTATAGTAACAGCTGTTTTCACTGTCTTAATTTCAGTTTACATTTGGAAAATGGGGTGAGTAGAGGTATTTAAATCATAGAAAGTACAGAATAAAACACACAAATGCTAAAACATACACACATACACTGTAAATTGACACTAAAATTCTACTTCTGGAAAGCAGTTTTTTTCTTTTTGAAAGATACTGCAAGGTTAAAGACAAAAAGAGCTGTGCACAGCAACTGTATTCTCATCGGGCATGTTTACAGTTCTGTTACTACATGTGTATATTTGTTGAACAAGCACGTAAATAAATTGTAGATAACAGTCAAGAGTCAGGTATCTCACTGTCGGAGAAAGAAGTTAAAAGGGGAAAAGCTAGAGTGAATTTAGTGGTATTGGGTTGGAATTGGAGGATTATGAACTCATGGTTCTAATATATATATGTGTATACACACACATGTTTATATGTGTTTATATAAATATATATAGATATTTATGTACACATGCATTTATTTTGTAGCTTTGGCCACAGAGAGAACTTAAGCAATGTTATTCAAGTGGTAGTGAACATCCCTATCACTAAGTTCTTGGCTTCTAGGTGCCATTCTCCAATAAAAAGAACCAGGACATGGCAGGGTGCTGTGGCTTATGCCTGTAATCCTAGCACTTTGGGAGGCTGAGGTGGGCAGATTGTCTGAGCTCAGGAGTTAGAGACCAGCCTGGGCAACATGATGAAAACTCATCTCTACTAAAATACAAAACATTAGCTGGGCACAGAGGTGTGTGCATGTAGTCCCAGCTACTTGGGAGGCTGAGGCAGGAGAACTGCTTGAACCTGGGAGGCAGAGGTTGCAGTGAGCCAAGGTCACATCACTGCACTCCAGTCTGGGTGACAGAATGAGTCTCAAAAAAAAAAAAAAAAAAAAAGAGAACCAGGACTCCTTGAAGAAGTGGTGGTTTATTCCAGGGCTGGGTCAAGAAAAATGTGAGGCGAGGAGCCTGGAATATCTTTCTTGTGATACCAGAAAATAAGAACCTACTCAGAAAAGGATGGAGCATGTTGAAATGACATGGGTGCTTACTGTAAGGACTTCCCAATGGCCAAAGCTAGAACAATTTAAGCAACAAAATAAATGAGGATAGTATTGTATTATTACTCATAGAATAAAGTAAATGTCCCTAAATCCATAGTGTCATAAACAAATAACTGGATAAATAAATATAAGGGGGAGATGGAATAGCTCTATCTTACAGAAGAATTCAATTAATAATGAAGAAATGAGAAAAATACAAAATCTCCTTTAGGCAAATACCATAGCAATAATTATTACAGGCATAAGCTACTGACAGATATAAAAACTAGTAGGTAAAAGTTTGAGAAGAAACAATATATTATTATTATTTTCAAACTATCTCTCCCAGGATATTTATCAATTTCAAATGAAAACTATTAACTTTAACAAAACTCAGCAGACATCACCTTAACCAAATGCTCAAGGCTCATATCACCAATAAGTCATTTTGATATCAAATTACCCTGATGTGATGAACCAGGAAGAGTATATCACTTTTGTCATATTTTTGCCAAAAATTTATAACCTCAAACCTCAAAAAGGAATCATGAGGAAGTGTCAGACAAACCCAAATTGAGAGATACTCTACAAAATAACTGAGCGTTACACGTTAAACATATTGAAGTCATGTTAAATTGCTAAAGGAGTTTATTTTAAGAGTTCTCATGACAAAAAAATAAGTATGTGAGCTAATGGGCAGGTTAGTTGATTTAGCCAGTCCAAAATGTATACATATTTCCAAACATCATGTTGTACATCATAAATATATACAGTATTTTTAAATAATTTTTTTATTTGTGCAAATTTAAGAGGTATAAGTACAGTTTTGTTACATGGATATATTGTATAGTGATGAAGTCTAGGCTTTCAGTGTAACTATCACCTGAATAATGCACTTTGTAAACATTAAGTTATTTCTCATCCCTTTATTGTGTATATTTGAGGTTTACAACATGATGTTATAAGTATAGATAGTAAAATGCTTACTACAGTGAACCAAGTTAATGTATCTATTATTGCACATAGATAATTTTTGTAATGAGCAGCTAATATCTACTTAACAAAGATCTCTAATACAATACACTTTTATTAACTATAGTGTTCTATAGTGTTCATATTGTATCTTATATATCTAGATTTGTTTATTCTACAAATCTGCTACTTTAAATCCTTTGACCTATAGCTCTTCATTTTCTTTCCTGATCCTCTGCCGCTGGTAACCACTGCTTTTATTCTCTATCTCTGTATATTTGACCTTTAAAAAATGTGTAGATTCTGCATACAAATGAAATCATGCAATATTTTTTTTCTGTGTCTGGTTATTTTACTTAGTATGATGTTGTCTGGGTTCATCCATGTTGTGGCAAAAGGCAGGATATTCTTTTTAAAGGCTGAATAATATTCCATTGTGTATATGTATACATACAAACACATATACATATAATCCATATGTGTATATACACACATATGCATACATACAGTGGAATCATACATGTATATGTATGTATGTATGTATATTATGTATATGTGTATATATGTATATGTGTGTGTGTCTGTGTGTATATATATATATATATATATGTATACGCATACATACCTACACCACACAATTTCTTTATCCATTTGTCAGCAGACACTGAGATTATTTTCATATCTTGGCTACTGTGAAAAATGCTGCAGTGAACATGGGAGCATGATATTTTTATGAGGTGGTGATTTCATCTCCTTTGGGTGTATAACCAGAAGTGGGATCACTGGGTCAAATGGCAATTCTATTTTCAATTTCTTTAGGAGCCTCCACGTTGTTTTCTGTAATGGTTACCCACATCTACATTCCTACTAACAGTGTACATGAGTTCCCTTTTCTCCACATCTTTCCCAACATTTATTATCTCTTATCTCCTGGATAATAGCTATCCTAATGTGAGTAAGATGATCTCTCCTAGTGGCTTTAATATGCATTTCCCTGATGATTAGTGATGTTGCACTCCATTTCATATTCCTGTTGACTATTTGTATGTCTTCTTTGGAGGAATTTCTGTTCAGGTCCTTTGCCCATTTTTAATTGGATTATAATATATATTTCTTATCAATATAAAAATTAAAAAGTACATTATCCATTTGTATGTACTTATTGCCATTACTGTGGGAATATTGTATCTAGAAATACAGAAAGAAAATACCATGTTACATCAATTCATTGTATGTAATCAGTGTTATGAATTGCTGATAAAGTATGTGAAATATAAAAAATTATAAACATCAAATTCATAAAATACAATGAAAGAATAAGATATTGTCATAGACTGAAAAAGACTAAAACATAGCAAATAAGTGCAATGTAGAATTCTAGATTATACTCTGGAACAGAAAAAGGACATTGGGGGAAAGCTGGTCAGACTTGAATTATTTATATGTTAATTTCCTGATTTTGATAATTGAATTATGGTTAAGTTGTTAACATTAAGAATGTAAACACTTTTTACTATTTTTGTAACTCTTCTGTAAGTCTAAAATTTTTTAAAAATGGAAAGTTTAAAGAAAGAAAAAAAATACCTAATCCGATTGCCTTGTTTACAGTGCCTGGCATATGACAGGAGCTTACTACATGCTTGTAGGATTGTTTTGCCACCATGTCCTTGATCAACCAGTTCCCCCACTTGGGGTGCTGTTCTCTCACCCACTGTCTACTTCTCATCTGCCAATGAAGTAGATAGTAATATTTTGGGTACTCCCTTCATATTATGATTTTTGTGTGTGGCCATGAATTATGCTGGTGTGAACTGCTGCTCAGTGCCAACAGCATTCTGGAGAAGGAAGCACTCGAGAAGACACAAGGTAGATGGAGATTGAGAGGCCACTATGATGTCCTTCAGGTACAGTGTAGGTTCTCTTGGGGTCTTAGGGAGCAGAGCCTTGACTCCACCATTTTACAGGCACATGTGCTGCTTTGCACACCCCAGATAGGGGGCAGCAGACAACAGGGAATGATGCCTAGGAGGCTATGGTAAGTGGGTGGCTGGTAAGTTCCTGGGAGCTGTCCATGGTTTTGAGATGTCTCTGGTACCCAAACCGCTCAAGACATTGCTGTAGGTGAGCTTAGATTTTTGTTTTGACGCTTAGGGTACAAAACACTGTGGAGAAGGTGTGTGTATGTGTGTGTGTGTTTCTATTTGAAAAGCCAAGCTCCAAAAAACTGCATCATCCTGGAAGGTAAAGCAAACTCACTGCAGGGGCTTGCACATGTAGTGATTTAGGCCCCAGGTAGTCAACACTTTTTCTTACAATAGGTTTTGTGTGAAGTGTAATTCCAAGTCTACTTGCATCACAATTTTCTTGGAGCTTGTTAAAAATACAATTTCCAAGCTTTGCTTTACCAGACCTATTAAATCAGAATCTGAAGGCAAAGGTTGAGGAATGAGAGAGGGAAGGGCTAGATAAAAATATGCATTTTAAAAAGGCTTCCCTGGCAATTCATATTCACACTGAAGTTTAAAAATAATTTTACATCCAGTCCAAAGTGAAGTAGATGGTAATATTTTGGGGCAAGTACGGGGGAAACAAATCACAAGAACTACTGTTCATATTTATTTGTATCTCTTTATTTAAATGTTTCCATCTTCTGATATGCATTAAAATTTGCATAGTATTTTGCTACATGAATATACATTAGTTTGAGTATGTGGATACAATTCATACATAAATATACATGCATTTATTTATGTGTTTATTATTTCATTCAAAAGGTATTTATTGGGCACTCACTATGCCCCAAGCACCGTTCTAGGCACTTCAGCTGCAGTATTGAATAAGGCAAAGTATTTGTCCTCAGGGAGTTTATCTTTTCCTCACAAATGGAGAGGAAAGAACAGGAATAAATGTGTTGGGGATTCATTCCCTAAATTTTTTTTTAAACTTACTGGCTAAGTAATTTTAAAAAGTTTAGAAACCATTTATTTAGGTTTTTCAAATTATCACAAGTGAGTCATCTCATTCTATACAAAACAGAATATGTCTTGGCAGTCAGACTGGCCATTCTTTTGTCCTTTCAAATGATGCTGTCCTCCCAAAATCTTACTGGTTCCAGGAGGGACATCCTATTTCTACAATCTTGTCCCTGCTCTGTCTTGCTGTACTCAAGAACTCTCCTGTGGCTCCATTTTCCATCCTTAGAAAAACAGACAATGAGGAGTCCCTGCTGTTCTGCTGCTGTGACAATAAATGAGTGTGTGTTTTTCCAGTGCTACTGCCTTCTGTAGAAGGAGCTGAAAAAATGCAAAACGATTTCCTCTCTTAACACACACACTTTTTTTTTTTAATCAAAAATGCTGTTTTGTCCTCTTTTGGTGTCTTCTTCCTGGGAAGAAGAATTTATTATTAGATTGGCAACTCCCTCAAACGCTGAATAAAAGAATAAAGGGGAAGTGCCTTTGCTGTATCATGTATCAGAGGCCTCTCAGCATAATGTGTGAGCTCTGGCATGTCACCATATTTTACAGTAACTCTGATGTTTTCACCCAGCGCTTTTGAGTCAGGCGAAGAGAACTCGTATTTCAACCCAAATGCAATTTGCATAGCACACGTGATAACATCACACTTTTAAAGCCACCCGCCCTGTTGGGATCCCTCACATTTAGTTCAAATCCTCATTTCCTCTACAAAAGGATGTTGTGTAATTAGTGTAATCAGGTCCTAAGGACCATTGAGATTGTGACTATTGTGGGCTCAGCAGACAGAGTGATGTCACATCCAAATCCTAACAAAGCAGATTGGTCATGAATTGTCACCTCCCCACCACTTAGGCAGCAAAGACATTCCTCAAGTAAGGAGAGGACAGATGGTTCAACAATTTGTCTTGGAAATAGTATTTCCTGCTGCTAAGAAATGGTGTTGGGAAAGGGAAGCTGTAGTTCCAGGGTAAGAAGCAAAGAGGAAAAATTTATGTGCTAAAAGATCACTAAAGAGAAATCATGCATTTATTCATGAAACCACCATTTATTGAGCATTTACTGTGTACTGGGCACTAGGTCTGAAGCAATAAGCAGCAATGATCCAGACAGACACTGAGATTATTTTCATATCTTGGCTATTGTGAAAAATGCTGCAATGAACATATCTGTATCTCATGAATGAACTCCATATCCCATGGAGTTTATAGCTGTTAGGAAACAGACATTTAATTCAGTGATTATAGCAGAAAATGTGATAGTGCTACAGTAGAAAACACATAGTGCTACAGGTTAATCCACTCAAGCTGTTATGGCAAATGCACATACTGGGTAGCTAATAAGAAACACAAACTTATTTCTCATGGCTCTGGAGGTTGGGAAGTCCAAGATCAAGATGCCCATTGATTTTTTGTCTATTGAGGGCCCATTTCTTGGTTCATAGACCACATCTTCTCACTGAGTCCCCACATGGTGGAAGGAGTGAGGGAGCTCTCTGGGTCCTGTATTATAATGGCACTAATCCAATCCACAGGGGCTCTGCTGCCATGAGACAATCACCTCCTCATAGGTGTCACCTCCTAACACCATCATCTTGGGCGTTAAGTTTCCACCTCTGAATTTTGAGGGAACACAAATATTTAGACGGTAGCACACCTCCTTTGTGAGCCTCAGAAAAGACTTCCTGAAGTTAATGATAGTTAAGACACAAGGATGAGGCCAGGCATGGTGACTCACACCTGTAATTCCAGCACTTTGGGAGGCCAAGGCGGGTGGATCACCTGAGGTCAGGAGTTCATGACCAGCCTGGCTAACATGGTGAAACTCTATCTCTACTAAAAATACAAAAATTATCCAAGCATGGTGATGGGCGCTTGTAACCTCAGCTACTCAGGAGGCTGAGGCAGGAGAATTGCTGGAACTCAGGAGGTAGAGGTTGCAGTAAGCCAAGATGGTGCCATTGCACTCCAGCCCAGGTGACAACAGTGAGACTCCATCTCAAGAAAAGAAAAAAGACACAAGGATGAGTATGAGTTTCAGGGTTCTAATCTTGACTCTACTTCCTTATTTCAATTATTTCAGCCCTTTAAAAATGCGACTATATTCCAAATCCTGTACTAAACACCCAGAATATAGAGCTGAATAAGGCCTGGCCACTGGCCTTTAGAAACATACAACCTAGTGTACAGGATGGACTTGATGAAAGATGGTGTGAGTGAAGTGAGATGGTGAGAAGTCTAGAGAAGTGAGGAGCTGCTCTTCCTGGAGAAGCCTTCATTAAAGGATTGTCTTGACAGAAAAGTAGGAATTTTTCCCAGTGAAGAAGTTTTTTAAAAGTTGATTTTAGGCCTTGCATGTATAGAGGTATGAAGCTGTGAAAAGGCTAGGAGTGTCCAAAGAGTATGCGAAGTGCAGTATGAGTGGGAGGGAAGTTGAATAGGATGGAGAGGAGGAGGAAGTGGGTAGGTAGGGGCTAGATTAAATAGGCCCAATGAAAGAGCAGAGATGGGCTCTTTCAGGCAAAGTGGAACTTACAAAGGATTTTATGCAAAAGAGTGCCACGATCATTTATGCAGTTTGAAAATACCACTAGAGGTCATTTCAAGGGGAAGCACTGGACACAAACCAAGCAGTTCAGAGTTTGTTATATCAGTTCATGTGATGGGTGATGAAGGCCTGAGTTGAGGCACTGGTAGTCTTGATAGGAGGGAAAAGTTAAAATTTTTTATATGGGCAGATTTCTAGGTTTTGGTATCTCATTAAATGTGAAATAAGGATAAAAGAGAAAACAAAAGTGGCATTTTATATTCAAAGGATCGATGGCTCTCCAACGTGATTAGAATTCCCTGGGGAACTCTGAACAAATATACATGCCTAGGTTTCAGCCTGAATGAATTAAAAGCAAAGTGTCTGGGGTAGACCCCAGACCTTTCCTTTTCCTTTTCCTTTCCTTTTTCCTTTCCTCTTTTCTCTTTTTTTTAGACAGAGTCTCGCTCTTTCTCCAGGCTGGAGTGCAGTGGCGTGATCTGTGCTCACTGCAACCTCTGCCTCCTGGGTTCAAACGATTCTCCTGCCTCAGCCTCCTGAGTAGCTGGGACTACAGGTGCACACCACCACACCCAGCTATTTTTTTTTTGTATTTTTAGTACAGACAGGGTTTCATTATGTTGGTCTGGATGGTCTCGATCTCCTGACCTCGTGATCTGCACACATCGGCCTCCCAAAGTGCTGGGATTGCAGACGTGAGCCGCCATGCCTGACATTTCTGTCTGTAAAATCTCCCCAGGTGATTTATTTTTTTTTGAGAGAGAGTCTTGCTCTTTTGTCCAGGCTGGAGTGCAGTGGCATGATCTTGGTTTACTGTTACCTCCGTTTCCCTGGTTTAAGCGATTCTCCTGCCTTAACCTCTCAAGTAGCTTGGATTACAGGCATGCACCACCACACCTGGCTAATTTTGGTATTTTTGGTAAAGATGGGCTTTCACCATATTGGCCAGGCTGCTCTCGAACTCCTGACCTCAGGTGATCCACCTGCCTCAGCCTCCCAAAGTGCTGGGATTACAGGCGTGAGCCATCACACCTGGCCTAGGTAATTTTACTGTGCTTCCATGGTTGAGAAATGATGTTCCAGATTGGAGCTGAAAACCATGGTGCACAGGCCAAATATGGCCTGCCATGCATTTTATTTTTAATTTTTTTGAAAAAAGTTGAAACTGATTGAGATAATTATAGATTCACATGCAGTTGTAAAAGATAATACAGAGAGACTCCTTGCACAGTGTGCCATTTTTCTTAGTGGTAATATTTTTCAAAACTATAGTATAATGTTGCAACCAGGAAATTGACATCAATACAATACACTGATCATATTCAGATTTTTCCTGTTTTACTTTTGCCCATCTTTATGCGTTTATTAACTGCTATGCCATTTTATCGTGTGACAACTTGTGTACTGACAACCACATTTGTCAAGATAACAAACAGCTCCAATACCACAAGTATCTCTCATGTTGCCCTTTTATCACCATATTCACCTGTGTTCCCCCCCACCACCCCCAACAAATCCTGTGCCACCCCTGCCGCCCCCACCAAATCCTGTGCCCCTAACCACTGAGAAACACTAATCATCTGGTCTCCAGTTCTAAAATACTGTCATTTGTGATATAAATGGAATCATTCTGTAGGTAACTTTTTGGGATTGGCTTTTTTTTCTATTAAGCCTAATTGCTTGGAAATTACCCAAGTTATCGCATGTAGCACCGGTTTTACATTTATGGCTGAGTAGCATTCCATAGTATATCTATAACAAAGTTTAACCATTGATCTGTTGAAACACATCTGGAATGATTCCAGTTTTTCACTGTTAAAAATAAAGTTGCGATAAACATTTGTGTGCAGGTTTTTTGTGTGAACATGTTTTCGTTTTCTTAGGATAAATGCACAAGAATGTAATTGCTGGGTGGTAGAGTATTTGTATCGTTAATATTACAAGAAAGTGCAGAAATGTTTTCCAGAGTGGCTGTACCGTTTGACATTTCCACCAGCAATGTAAAGTGATTAGTTTCTCATCCTTATCATCATTTGGTGTTGTCACTATTTTTTATTTTAGCTATTCTGATAGGTGTATGATGATATTTCATTGTGGCTTTAATTTGTATTTCTTGATGACTAGTGATGAAGCTCATGTATTTTGCCCATTTTCTAATTTGATTGTTTGGTTTGAGAGCTCTCTGTATATATTCTAAATACCAGTACTTTTGTCAGGTATATAGTTTGCAAATATTTTCTCCCACTTCGTACCTTGTCTTTTTATCTTCTTCAAAGGAGAATTCACAGCGCAAAAGTTTTAAATTTTGATGAAATTCAATTTATCAATTTTTCCACTTATGGGTTCTGCTTTTGATATTAAGTCTAATAACTCTTTGCTTAGTCCTAAATCCTGAAGATTTTTTTCTACATCCTGTCTAAATGTTTTATTGATTTTACATTTTACATTTAAGTGCATGATCCATTTTCAGTATTTTTTACATAAGGTGACTTAGGTCAAGGTTCATTTTGTCTATGGAAGTCCAATTGCTTAGCACCATTTATTGAAAAGACCCTGTTTCCTTCCTTGATACCAAAAGTCTGTTGGAAATATTTCTGTGGGGTATTTCTGGATTCTCTCTTCTGTTCCATTGGTCAATATGTCTATACCTCTACCAAAACCCCATTGTCTTGATTACTGTAGCTATAAAGAAGCTTTTGTAACAGATTGATTCCTCTCACTTTATTCTTCTTTCTTAAGATTGATTTAGTTATTCTAGCGCTTGTGGCATTTTTAATAAATTTTAGAATGAGCTTGTCTACATTTAGAAATAAAAACATTACTGGGATTTTGTGAGATTTAAAACGCTAGATCAGTTTGAGGAGAACTGACATCTTATGTTGAGTCTTTTGATACATGTACACAGTATGTCTCTTCATTTATTTTAGTCTTTGATTTATTTCATCAGCATTGTGTTGTTTTCAGCATATTACATTCATGTTTTGTTTTATAATATAAACATGTATTTTATACATGTTTTATTAAGTATATAAGTATTTCATTGTCACTGGAAAATGGTATTGTGTTTTTAATTGTGATTCTACATGTTCATTGTGAGTGTATAGAAATGTGATTGACTTTTGTGTGTTGATCTTGTGTCCTGGAATCTTGTTGAAGTCACTTATTAGGCTTAGTTGTTGGAGGAAGGTTTTCTTTTTGTTGTTATGTTTTGTTTTTGGTAGATTTTTTTCTACACAGGCAATTATCAATCATGTCAACTGCAAATAGAGAAAATTTTCTTCCTTTCTGTATGTCTGCTTCCTATTTATTTATTTCTTCTTGCCTTACTATAGTGGCTAGAATTTCTCAGTGCTATGTTGAATAGTAATGGTGAGTGTACCAGTTGCCTTCATCATGATCTTAGGAGAAAAATATTCAGTCTTTCACCATTAAACATGATGTTGGCTGTAGGACTTTAGCAGGTACTACTTATTGAGTTTAAATAATTGCTCTCTATTCCTAATTACTGCGATTTAAAAAAAAACCCAAATGGCTGTTGAATTTTGTCAAATGTTTTATCTGCATCAATTGATACAAACATGATTTTTCTTTTTTAGTTTGTTAATAGAGTATGTTATGTTGCCTGATTTTAAAAGCAGCCCTGCATCCCTGGAATAACTTCCCCCTTTTGTATGATGTATAATTCTTTTTATAATTGCTGCATTTAGTTTACTAATCTTATGTTGAAGATTTTGGTGTTTATGTGCATGAGACATACTGTCTGCAGTTTTCTTGGTACTGTTTTTATGTGGTTTTGGTGTCATGGTAAAACTGACCTCATAAAATGAGTTGGGAAGTGTTCTCTATTCTTCTATATTTTTGAAGAAATTGTGTAAAATTGGTGTTAATTCTTATTTAACTGTTTGGTAGGACTCAGTAATGAGACTTTCTGGTCCTGGATAATTTGCTTTTCCAGAGCTTTTAAACTACAAATTTAGTTTCCTTAATGGATGTAGGGCTATTCAGATTGTCCATTTTATTTTAGGCGTAATTTAATAGTTTGTAGTGTCTGAGGAATTGATATTTATTCTAAGTTGTTAAGTTTGTGAGAATAAGGTTGTCTGTATTTTACTGCTTATCAATCTTTTAATGGCTCAGGACCTGAAGTGATATTCCATTTCATTCCTGATCCTGGTGATTTGTGTCTTCTCTATTTTCATCTTTGTCAGTCTTGCTAGAGGTTTATAAATTTTATTAATGTTTTTCAAGGAAATTTTTATTTTGTTGTATTTCTATTATTTCCCTATTTAAATCTCATTGAGTTCTGCTTTTATCACTATTATTTTCTTTGTTTTGCTTCCTTTGGGTTTATTTTGCCTTTTTTTCCCTAGTGTTTTGGAATAGAAACTTAGATCATTGATTTATCTCCTCCGTTTTAGTGTAAGCATTTAATGCTATTGATTTCCCTCTCAGTATGCTTTAGAAGCATCGTACACTTATTGCTATGTTACGCTTTTATTTCCATTCAGTTCTATGCATTAAAAAAAATTTACTTGGAGACTTTCTCTTTGGCCTATTGATTATTTAGATGTGTGTTATTTAACCAACCAACTTTCCTTTCCTTTCCTTTCCTTTCCTTTCCTTTCCTTTCCTTTCCTTTCCTTTCCTTTCCTTTCCTTTCCTTTCCTTTCCTTTCCTTTTCCTTTTCCTTTTCTTTCGACAGAGTCGCATTCTGTCACCTGGGCTGGAGTGCAGTGGTGTGATCTCGGCTCACTGTAACCTCCGCCTCCCGGGTTAAAGCTCTTCTCCTGCCTCAGCCTCCCGAGTAGCTGGGATTATAGGTGCCTGTCACCATGCCTGGCTAATTTTTGTATTTTCAGTAGAGACAGGGTTTCGCTATGTTGGCCAGGCTGGTCTCGAACTCCTGACCTCAAGTGATCCTCCTTGGCCTCCCAAAGTGCTGGGATTACAGGTGTGAGCCACTGTGCCTGGTCTGTTATTTAATTTTCACATGTTTAGAGATTGTGCTGTTGCTCTTCTCCTACTGATTTCTGGTTAGATACCATAATGGTCAGAGAACACACTCTCTGTAACTTCAACTCTTTTTTTTTTTTTTTTTAAGATTTGTTTTATGCCCCAGGTGTGATATCTTGGTGAATATGCACTAGCTACTTGAAAAAAATGTGTTATCTTGCTGTTATTGGGTGAAGTGCTCTATATATGTCAATTTTATCTTTGTGGTTATGTTGTTCAGATGTTCTATATCCTTACTGATTTTCAATCTAGTAGTTCTGTTAGTTGCTGAGAAAGGCAGGTTGGAGCCCCCAGGTATAACTGTGGACTTGATATTACCACTTTCAATTCCATCAGTTGTTGCTTCATGTATTTTGGGGTTCTGTTGTTTGATGTGTACACATTTGAAATCATTATGTCTTTCTCATAGACTTATGCTGTAACAATAATCCAATATCCCTCTTTGTCTCTAGTATTTTTTTTTCTGAAATCTACTTTATCAGATATTTATGTAGCCATTCTGGCTTTTTCTTTGAAAAATTAATTTTTGATGGTTTATCTCATTTCATTCATTTACTTTTAGCCTTCCTCTGTTATTGAATTTTAAGTGAGTTTATTATAAGAAGCATAAATTTGGGCATGATTTTTCTATCCACTCTGTCAATCCATCTTTTGACCTGTGTATTTATATTATTTACATATAAGGTAATCATTGATATGTTAGTGCTTAAGTCTGCCATTTTTTGTTTTCTGTTTCTCTTTTCTTGACTTCTTGAAAGTTACTTGACATGTTTTAGGATTTCATCTTGATTTATTTGTGGTGGCTTTTTCTTTTTTTTCGGGGGGTGGAGCGGTGGAGTTTTGCTCTTATTGCCCAGGCTAGAATGCAATGCACAATCTCAGCTCACTGCATCCTCCCTCTCCTGGGTTCAGGTGATTCTCCTGTCTCAGCCTCCCGAATAGCTGGGATTACAGTTACTGTAATTTTACCTGCCACCATGCCTGGCTAATTTTTTTTTTTTTTTTTCGTAGAGACAGGGTTTCACCATATTGGCCAGGCTGATCTCAAACTCGTGACCTCAGGTGATCGACCTGCTTCAGCCTCCCAGAGTTCTGGGATTACAGGCATGAGCCACTGCACCGGCCTTGTGGTGGCTTTGAGTGTATCTTTTTGAATAGTTTTCATAGCGGTTGCTTTGGGTATTACGATATACATATGTGACTGACATAATAGCCAACTGGTATCATCATTTTACTACATCAAGTGAGATGTGAAAAGCTCATTTCCGCTTAGGACTCTTTACCTTCCTCTAGCAGAGGAATGACTTTACCTGGGATGCCCTCTCTTGCTAAATAATGAGTCAAAAAACAGTAGGTTTAGGTAGGCTTCTTCTGTTGGGTATAGGGTGCAAGATGTCAAGCCACTGTTCTGTTCCTCCAGTCCTGGGGTGCCAAACATTCTTGCCTCCTTCTCACTGCTTGTTGGGGTTCTCCTTTGGTTGTCTCTTGTGTCATTTTCAGGATTTATAGTTGTGTTTAGTGGGATGAGAGGAAGAAGTAGGGAAAAGCAAGCCTAGGTTATTTTATCTGGACCAGAAGTTCTACATTTTTTTTTTGTTAAGTAACGTTACACTATAACAGCCACTCCTGTTCATTTTATATATTGTCTATGGTTTCTTCGGTGTTACACAGCAGAGTTGAGTAGTTAAGACAGACACAACTGCCCTCTCTTCCACCAGGAGGTATGGAGGTGAGTAGACATAAAGTAGTTATAATCTGCCCATTTATGGAAGAAGCTTGCCTACCCTGGTCTAGATTATCCATTGAACAAGAGATCATGGTTGAGAGGTTTTAAACAACTAGCTAAGCACCTTGGCCAAGTACCTACTTCAACAATATCTACTGATCCAGAAAAGGACCTGATTAAGAACTGAATACTTTTTGAAGTGCTTTCACGTTGGTTACCCCTTTTGAGCCTTACAATAGCTCTATGAAATGAGACATTAATAGATTAATAGCACTCACATCATATAAATCTGAAAAATGAGAGCCTGGGATTCTTAAGAATCACTCCCTTGGATTACCTGGTAGGTAGGTGGCAAGCCAGAGCTGTATCTCTGACCTCATGACCCCTAGTTTAGTATATTGCACTAACTTTCAAGACAAAGCATAGTCTTTAATACCTGATGCCCTCAGAAAACTTATAATGTATATGTGGATGTAAGATGAGACCCACACAAAAGAAGTCACAATAATACTGTATGTGTGATATTAGCTCTACACCAAAACCCTAATTTTGCTGCCGTGAAGACAAGGAAGGAGTTAACATAATACTTTTACTTTCTGTGCCACACACTGCACTTCCCATATATTTATTCACCACACTTTTCAACTTTTGCAAATGTGGGAAGTGAGTCACTGAGAGACACTTCTTCAAGTCAACCAGCAACTGATACATTAAGATTCATTAGGTTTTGCAGGGCACTGCAGTCATTATTTCATTGAATTCTCCAATAATCCTACAACTTGGGTGTTAATTCTCCATTTTACAGAAGAGACATCTGAAGTTTACTGAAATTAACTGTTTTACTTAAGGTTGCCAGATGCTGGCGAGGTTGCAGAGAAAAGGAAACGCTTATACAGTGTTGGTGGGAGTGTACATTTGTTCAACCATTGTGGAAAGCAGTGTGGTGATTCCTCAAAGAGCTAAAAACAAAAATACCATTTGAACCAGCAATCCCATTACTGGGTATATACTCAAAGGAATATAAATCATTCTACCGTAAAGACACATGCATGTGAATGTTCACTGAAGCAGTATTTACAATAGTAGTCACAGAATAAACCTAAATGCTCATCAGTGACAGATTGGATTAAAAAAAGGCAGCACATGTATATGATGGAATACTATGCAGCCATAAAAAAGAAACAGATCATGTCTTTTGAGGGAACATGGATAGACTTGGAGGCCATTATCCTTAGCAAACTGTCAAGGAAAAGAAAACCAAATTCCACATGTTCTTACTTATAAGTGGGAGCTAAACGATGAGAACTCATGGACACAAAGAAGGGAACAACTGTCACTGGGGCCTGCTGAATGGTGGAAGGTGGGAGGAGGGAGATGATCAGAAAAAAATAACTATTGAATGTTAGGCTTAGTACCTGGGTGGAGAAATGTCTGTACAACAAACCCCTGTGACTCTACCTGGGATGCTCTCTCTTGCTAAGTAATGAGTCAAAAAACAGTAGGTTTAGGTAGACTTCTTCTATTGGGTATAGGGTGCAAAATGTCCAGTCACTGTTCTGTTCCTCTAGTCCTGGGGTGCCAAACATTCTTGCCTCCTTCTCACTGCTTGTTGGGGTTCTCCTTTGGTTGTCTCTTGTGTCATTTTCAGGATTTATAGTTGTGCTTAGTGGGATGAGAGGAAGAAGTAGGGAAAAGCAGGCCTAGGTTATTTTATCTGGACCAGAAGTTCTACATTTTTTTTTGTTAAGTAATGTTACACTGTAACAAGCACTTCTATTCATTTTATATATTGTCTATGGTTTACCTATATAACAAACTTGCGTAGGTACCTTAACCTAAAATAAAAGTTAAAAAAAAATAAAGTTTCCCTGTAAGCAGCATAGCTAGAATTTGAATCCAGGCCAGTATGACATTTAATGTGAAGTGAAACTAGCTTACAAAGGTTATTAGACATGGAATTGAGCCAAGAGATGTCTAGTATGTCCATTTCATTCCATTGATGGGGAACCTGAGACTTAGGGGGAAGAGGTGAGGAATGTCTTAAAGCTGAAATATCTGTGGCTACAACTTTATGTCTTTCCCCTTCCATCAGATTTTAGATTGGTTTACAATTCCATTGGCATTTTCTGTGAAATAAAAAAAGGGAAAAAAAAGACATTATTCTTATGAAAGAAAAGAGATTAGTAGGCTTTCATTTGCTTCTTATCTCCTGCTTTTCTGCAAAAGGGGATTTAAAGAGAGGTTTTATTTTGTTCAAGGCCAAGAGCGAAACCTTTTCATACCTTTCCAGCTGGACAGGATCACCTGGTTTCCAAATCAGGAGATGTAATTGTTTATCTAGTGATTACCAACCCATGCTCCTAACTAATTCCTTGCCCTGGGGGACCAGGAAATGTGATGTTACATTTATTTATAGATGAGGTTGTGAGAAGGCAGAGAGCACGTGATTCCTCTGATATGCGCAAGCCGTTTTCCCATCTGCTCCCATGTGCAGGAATAGGGGAGGTAAGACAAGACCTTTGCTAACTCTGAATTGGGAGAAAAATCAGGCAGCTTGGGGATAATTTTCTAGTGGTGATGGTCAGTAACAGGTGTGTATACACTTAGAAGTATGCCTATACCATGTGTGTGCATGCATATGTATGTATTGTGTGCATGTGTATTGAATACTTGTGATTGTGCAAGAGGTGGAGGCTTTTAGGTATGTAGAAAGGTATGTATGTGTATGGAATGGGTGTGTCACTTGGAGTCATTTTGTGCATATATTTGCTCCTGTGTGGACTGTAAGTTGTATAGACGTATTTGCTAACTCAGCACATACTGTTACTCATGAGCTTGAGTAATGTAGTTTACCTGCATGAAGCATGGTCATGCTTATGGCAACCTATGTGTAGGGATTTTCCTCTTAATTTTAAATGACTAGTTCTTCAAGAAGAGAGGAAAATTCCACTCTTGACCTTTTCCCTCCTGTGGAACTTAAGTCTAGAGTGAGATCAGTCTTGCACCTGGGCCAGATGGATCTGTGAAATGGGTTTGAGTCTGGTCTGTAGGAGGGAGCATATGGTGTATCTGAGCCATCATCTTGAGACCAGATTCTATCCAAGAGAGGAGCAGAACCAGGAGTCAAATCAGAGCTCATAGACTTGTTCCACCTGATTTTCAATGATCTTGGGCAGAGCTGTGGGTGGTGAGGCAATGGGAGGCTCATCTCCTTGAGCTGGTCAGGAAGAAGGGTGGTGAGTCCTATTATTTAGTCTCCTTTGGTACCCTTTTTCAAAACCAATTGGCCATAGATACATAGGTTTATCTCTGGACTCTCAATTTTATTTCATTGGTCTACATACCTCCCATAGTATTTTCAACATAGTAGTTATGCATACATGGAAATTGTTCTAGAGACATAGCCAGATAATCTTGTCAATGCTGAAAGAGCCTTCAGAGCCCAAGTCCATCCTCCTTGCAACATGTGGGATCCCGCTACAGTTTTTTCACAAAAGTTCGTCTGGCCTCAGGTCAAATGCCTCCCAGGATGAGGCTGCATAACTCCATTGTTATACCGCACACACATTCCCAGAAAGTGTCTTCCGCGGAGACCAGTTCTGTGTAATTCGTACCTCTCTTTGTCCTTTGGGCTTATAATGAGTAAGCAACTTTGTTTCACTTGAGGGTCGTGTGATGTAAGGGAAAGACCACCAGCTTAGTCCTGAGTTTTAATCCCATCTTGTCACTAATTAGTCATAAAATCTCAGGTAAGGGCTTCTCCTGAGTGCCAGTTCCTTTATGTGAAAAATGAAAATGGGGCTAACACTCCCTGCTTCACAGGGGTTATGGGATAGGTCCAACGAGACACACACTTTAAAGCACAATGTCTTGCCTGGGTCATCCTAAGTTCTCAAGTGATGTTGTTTTTCTCTACATGACAGTGCTTCAGACCTGCAAAGGCAACACTCATACCCCCAAAGCCTGCTGTTCTTCAGTCCAGGGGGCCACGTTTTCCTCATTGGTTCTGCACGTTATGTTTTTATGGACACTTCAGGATTCTGGTTTCCATCTAGATGTGTTTGAGTTTGTTGATGCCATTTGAAAAATGTGCTGCTGGTGTCTGAATGCAGAGCCGTAGGTGTCTCTGAGTATCACAGAGGGACAGGATGCTCTCTTCTTTATAGTGAATGAGGTAGCTCTATTGATACAATGGCAGCCTACCTAGCTCTCCAAAACCACATCCTGCCGCGGCCAGGCTGACTCATGGCTCACTTCAATCATTAAGTCATTACCAAAGTTCTTGGGCTCTCTCACTGCTCCCTCACCAGTATTTGAGCAGGTAATTTTCGAGCCCAAGGGGATTAGTACACATTTAGTCACAAGGAATAAAACACCTTTTCTTTTTCTTGCTGAGGCCCTGTGCGATCTGGTTCCTGCTTACTTCTCATCTCCAGTCACTGTCCTGCTCACCTCTTCCACCCTCGTCCCTTGGGTCTCTAATTCCTGCAGCTCACCAAGGTCATTCTCAGCTCAGGAACCTGGCACAAGGCATTGCCTCAGCCAGGCAAGCTCTTCCCACTCTTATGATTTCTCAAGTCTGTCTCCTTCCCATGATGCAAGTCCTTCCCAGACCCCAAACCATAAGCTTCTAAGGAGTCTCTCCCCACCTACCTATGCTGCATTTCATCCCACTTCATAGCACTTATCACAATTGGTAGTTACCTTATTGATTAACTTGTGTAAGGTTGGTCTCCTGAACTAAATTGTGAGCTCTACAAAACAAGAACAGATACCTTGTCTGTCTTGTTCATCTTTGAATCCCCAGCACCTAGCAGAATACCTGATGTATAATAGAAACCAAATAAATATTTTTGAGTTAAGGAATGCATGTATGCATGAATGACTTTGTTTCTGATGCGTATAATATAATTGGATTTGGTTACTTTGATGGAAGCTCTACATTTTATTTTTATTTTTACTTTTTTTTTTTTGAGATGGAGTTTTACTCTGTCACCCAGGCTAGAGTGCAGTGGTGTGATCTGAGCTCACTGCAACCTCCACCTCCTGGGTTCAAGCGATTCTCATACCTCGACGTCCAGAGTAGCTGAGATTATAGGTGTGCGCCACCACACCCAGCTACTTTTTTTAGTTTTAGTAGAGATGAGGTTTTGTCATGTTGGCCAGGCTGGTCTGGAATTCCTGCACTTAGGTGATTTGCCAGCCTGAGCCTCCCAAAGTG
Source organism: Homo sapiens (assembly GCF_000001405.40). Lineage (NCBI taxonomy): Eukaryota > Metazoa > Chordata > Mammalia > Primates > Hominidae > Homo > Homo sapiens. Next base: position 34,430,471 of record NC_000022.11, read on the forward strand.
CTGGGATTACGATTGTGAGCCACTGCACCTGGCCCATTTTATTTTTTGAATCATCCTTGCTCATCAAACTCTCTCAGCACTATGTCATCTGCACATTTGCTCAGTATGCTAAATCTTCATCCAAGTTATAAAAAAAATATTGCTAAGGTAGGACCCAGGATGAGCATAAACAAGCCACTACAGGCTTTTCAGCTGGGTGCAGTGGGTGGCTCACCTCTGTAATCCTAGCACTTTGGGAGGCCAAGATGGGTGGATCACCTGAGGGTCAGGAGTTTGAGACTAGCCTGGTCAACATGGCGAAACCCTGTCTCTACTGACAACACAAAAGTTAGCCAAGCTTTGTCTTCAGTGTGGCCCCCTTCCTATCTCCCCTGACCACCCGATTAATAGAGCAGGCCCCCCTCTCTGCCACTTTCCTATATTACTTTACTTTTCTACAAAGTGCACATCACATAACATTGTATATATTAATTTGTTTTTTTTTTTTTTGAGGTGGAGTCTCGCTCTGTCACCCTGGCTGGAGTGCAGTGGTGCGATCTCTGCTCACTTCAACCTCCACCTCCCTGGTTTAAGCAATTCCCCTGGCTCAGCCTCCCAAGTAGCTGGGATTACAGGCATGCACCACCATGCATGACTACTTTTTTAATATTTTTAATAGAGACGGGGTTCCATCATGTTGGCCAGACTAGTCTTGAACTCCTGACCTCAGGCAATCCGCCCATCTTGGCCTCCCAAAGTGCTGGGATTACAGGTGTGAGCCACTGCGCCCAGCCTTAATTTGGTATTTTAAAAAATTTTTTGGTGTGCCTCCATATCAGTATACATTCTTTATTATTATTTTTTTTTTTGTAATGTCATTCTGTATTCTCAGAGACTAGAACAAAGCTTGGCAAATAGCAGGAACTTTATCAATGCTTTTTGAATAAATGTGGCTCGCATCATTTGTAATTTACCTTAATATAAGCACAGAAGCAAACAAAAATGGAAATAACCATTTTGAACTCCAACATGAACAACCTTGCTCACTGACTTCGTGGCCATCCTTCACTGAGCTGAGAAGCCCATCCAGCTCTTATGCAACTTCTGAACTTCAAGCAGGGAAGCTGTTTCTGCTACGGTCACAGCACAGGCCCCGACATTGGCGGGGAACTGGCATTGAGAACTGCGGGCACATGGTAAATGACATGGTCCCAGATGGGTGTGAGAGAGAGATACAGGGAGCCAGGAAGAAGACTAGGAAGCCCTGTTTCTCCTTCTTTTGATTACATGTTGCAAGAATGTGTACTTCTAGGAATTTTATAGATTAGGTCTAGAGAAATAAAGCAGTCATTCAAAGCGTATTTTTAAGTTTAAATTTCACATTAGTTGGGATGCCACCTGATTTATGGCCTGTTCCTGCATTTACTTTTTATTCATTTGTTCAGAAAATAGTTATTGAGGATATATTAAGTGCCAGCAGTTTGCAGGACACTCAGAAAATAAAGATAAAAAAGAAATTAAAAAGTGGTGGGGTGGGAAGTCCAGCCCTTTTCTTCCTCTCACCATCTCTGAGTACAAGCTATTTGGTACTACTTCACTACCTTGCCTCCAAAACTCCTTAAATCTCTCTCTACCTAGCACCTACAAGCTTCACTGCAAAATTTTGCTCAAGGATGTATGTGTTAATAGTCAAATCTTGCATGGATCCTCTGACTATCAGTGGATCTGGTGGGTCAGGGCTCTCACAATAGCTAAAACGAACGCCAAGCGTGTCTTTCCATGAGCCAAGTTAGAAGCTGAAGCAGAAAGAAGCTCCTTACTCAGGAGTTTCTGCCTAGGGGGAGTGTGCAAGGAACTGCCAAAAGAGTGGGTGGATGGGGAAAGATTTCGGGGGGGATCCTGGAATGAGCTCATGACTTGGCAATAGAAAACTGATATTTGCGAGACGTCCAGCGTGCTAATGGAATAATTATTGGCATTTCTCTCTCTCTCTCTCTCTCTCTCTCTCTTTCTCTTTCTCTCTTTCTCTCTCACACACATACACACACACACAGACACACACACCTGACTTTGATAACAGAGAAATAGTAAACCACTCTGTAGTGCAGTTGTACTTGTTGGATTTTCTAGTTTTATGTTTTTAAAAAGGTATCATTTATTTTAAAAATGTGGAAAATATTTTTACTTTTCTTGAATTAATTTGAATGCAAATAAGTTTGCTTGTCCCTGGTGCATTACTGCTCCAGCCAAGGCACAGTTTCCAGGGTTGCAGTGATGGGAATGGAGCTCTGGAGACCTGGAGCCTGGGGCAGTAAGTCCACGAGCCCCAGTTCAGCCCAAGTCCAATGATGTTGCCATACATATTGAAATAATATGCCGGGAATCGCTCTGGATGGAATTACTGATTCAGGGGAGTAACGTTTGTAGGAGAGCTCCTTTCCCTTGCAGTTTCTGATAGAGAAGTCTCAGTTATTTGAGGCTATGGAATAGAAGTGAGGATTTTTATAGCTCAGGGAACAAATTTTATCATCCATTCCACATCTTGCCTCTGCCTCGTGGAACTTAACCTTCCCCAAGTAGCAAAAACTATGCCTTGTGTTTAAAATGTTCACATGATTGTACTACCAGCATATCTCATTGAATCATTAATATTTTCCATTGAGGTAGATACTATTCTTACCCTTATTTTGCAGATATGGGGACTGAGGTTCAGAGAATAACTTGCACAAGGTCATCCCACTTAAAAGTGGTGGAAAGGACTTCTCCCAAATACAGGTTTTCTGTTGCCAAACCATGAGCTCTTTCCAGGATCCCCTCCTCAATCTTTCTTCTATCCACCCACTTCTTCTGGCAGTTCCTTGTACATTCTCCTTAGGCAGAAACTCCTGAGTAAGGAGCTGCTGTCTGCTGAAGCTTCTAACTTGACTGTTGGAAACAAATGCTTGGTTTTCTCAGATATTGTGAGAGCTCCCACCTACCAGATCCACTGATGGAGTCTGAGGAGCCATTTTGTTAGCTTAACTAGATGCTATCATCATAATACACTTGCTAATTTGCCTCCAGAGTCCCCTAACAGCCAGTTTAGTGGAACACAGGGGCTGCCTTCCTTTTATCTTTTTAATTTTTATAAAGTAAAATGCATAAACAAAAGGAGAGAACCAAACTTAGATCTGCTTTTGAAATGCCTCCCAGTCTTACCTGGCTTGTTCCTGTACCTGGCAATTCTTGGCTAAGGCAGAGTCGTGATGTCTTACTCGAGATAGCCAATTAAAATAATAGCTTGATGAGACCGAGTGTGGTGGCTCACGCCTGTAATCCCAGCACTTTGGGAGGCCGAGGCGGGCAGATCACAAGGTGAAGAGTTTGAGACCAGCCTGACCAACATGGTGAAACCCCATCTCTACTAAAATTACAAAAACTAGCTGGGCGTGGTGGCAGGTGCTGTAATCCCAGCTACTCAGGAGGCTGAGGCAGGAGAATTGCTTGAACCTGGGAGGTGGAGGTTGCAGTGAGCCAAGATCATGCCATTGCACTCCAACCTGGATGACAGAAGGAGACTCCCTCTCAAAATAAAATAAAATAATAGCTTGATGAAATATCAAAGGTGCAAGGTTAGAACCAGGTTTCAGGAGGCTTGAGACCACGATGCATGTGTCCTCCTGCCTCTACCATTCTGTGCCCCAGATGACAACACCTGCATTTGACATTATGGCCTTCAACATCCCATCAGGCCACACTCCCCTGTCACGTCAGCACACTGCCCATGATTTTATTCCTCCTGGTTCCTCTACCCTCTTGCTGCTGTCAACCCTTCATTTCCTTCTGTTTCCTCTTACTCTCTTATTTTGCTCCTATGATAGTAGTTTGCAAAAATGGCCAAGATTCCTCACTCCTCCCTGTGCTTTCCAAGCTTTTCCATGGAAAGTTAGAATCTATTTCCCCTGCCCTGGAATCTTGGCTGTCCTGTGGCTTTCTCTGGTGATAGAATATGGCAAAAGTGACCTTGTGCCAGTTCTGAGCCCAGGCCTGAAGAGGTCTTGCATGTTTCTGTTCATTGTCTTGGAAACATTCTGAGCCTCTGTGTCAACAACCCCAGGCTATCCAGCTGGATGACAAGGACTGTATGGCCCCATCACCTTTGGCACCCTAGTTGAGCCAGTCAATTCCTAAAAGTAGAGCTAATAATTGACTGGCAGCCAACTACAGATTCAGGAATGTGCCCAGCCAAGACCAGAAAAACCATCCAACTGGGCCAATTCTGTCAACTTGCAGAATTGTGAGCTAATTGGTATTATCTCAAGCTACTAAGTTTGAATGTTGTTTCTTATGCGGCAATGGCTAAATTGATACACCTCCCTTTCAGACTTTTCCAAATCTTCCTCTAGAACCGTTTGTCACTGACACAAACTAGCTTCGTTTTCCAGCTCCAAGGATGCCCCCAGAAACCATGACTGTCATAGCCATGGGATCTGCTTCTCTTCCTAGTCTTTCTCCAGCCAAATGGTCCAAAGGGAGAGCTGCCATCCTCTTATCCACTTCATCCCCAGCTGAGGCCAGAGATGAGCATATGGCTCCACCTGGAAAAAATCCGAGTGCTTTATTCCCAAACGACAATTAGTCCAATGTGAAGGAGGGCACACAAATCAAACCAGAGCAATCAGAGTCCTTCCTGGGACTTTACAACTGGAGAAATGAAGGAAAGTAGAAAAGAGACAGCAAAGATGTCAGCCTGAGCTACCATTGCCCAATTTCCTCGACAAATGGAGAACCTGGTCTAGGAGAATAAAACTGGAAGACAGAAGTCAAATCACGAAAGGATTGACCGTGCAGCTGAGCTTTGAGTTCCTGGTGTCAACCATCCCTGATCTTGCTGTGGATTGAGCACATGAACTAATAATATCTTGTGTTTGCCTAAGCTAGTTTGAGTTGGGCATCTGTGACTTGCAATCAGAGCCCTGAGTAAAACCTGTCCCACAATAAACAATCTTCCCTGAGCCTTGTGACCTGCAGAGAGGTCTTACCTGTTGAGTTTCCTCTGGTTTTAGCCAAGTGTAACCTAATTTGAATGAAACTGGCAGAACCTATCATCATAGGTGTTTCTTTCCATGCCTCTTTTCTTTTTATTCTTTCAAAACGTATCTGCTGTGGTGGGCAAGAGCTGCGCTGTGCATTTGAGTTGCAGAGACAAACCACACAGGCTCTGCCCTCAGAAAGTTTGTGGTTTAGTTGGGGCATAAGTGAGTAGCCAGTTCTCTCTGGCATGGTAACTACTATAATAGAGGGTTACATAAGATGCTGTGAACACACAGGTTGGAAGAGAGGGGCTGTTTAGGGAAGATACCCTGATAGAGTTGTTTTGTGTGCTAAGTATGAAAGCTAATAGTAGCTACCCAGGTGAAGGCAGAAAGTAAAGGGTGGAATGCTCTTTTGAAGAGGGGATGTTATGTGGAGATGTGTGGACAGAGTCTGGAGAACTGCAGTAGGTTGAGGTGACAGATCAGAGGGTTGGGGATACAAAAAGAGGAAGATAGAAAGGTGTGCAGGGGCCAGGGCGTAAATGGACTTTGGGATCATGCTATCATGATTGTGCTTTTTTTTTTTTTTTTTCCCCCTGAAATCAGTAGGTTTCAAGTTGTGGCAAGATTTCAATTGTAGAATCAGTGGATCAGATATCTGCTTTAGGAAGATAGGTTTAGCATCTCTGTAAAGAGTAGCTTAGAGGGCCAGGCGCGGTGGCTCACACCTGTAGTCCCAGCACTTAGGGAGGCCAAGGTGGGCATATCACGAGATCAGGAGTTTGAGACCATCCTGGCCAACATGGTGAAATCCTATCCCTACTAAAAATACAAAAATTAGCTGGGCGTGGTGGTGTGTGCCTGTAATCCCAGCTACTTGGGAGGCTGAGGCAGGAGAATTGCTTGAACTTGGGAGGCAGAGGTTGCAGTGAGCTGAGACTGCACCACTGCACTCCAGCCAGGGTGACAGAGCAAGACTCCATCTTGAAAAAAAAAATAGCTTAGAGGAGGGAGAGTCTGGGTAGGGAGATGGCTAGTCATCTAGGAGAGGGATAATGAAGATCTGAGCAATTCAAGGCAGCAACCTTGGGTTTTAGAGATGGAGAGGAAAGGCAGATTAGAGAAATATTGAAGAGGCAGGAGCAACAGGAATTTGAGATGGATAAGCTGTGGGAAAGGAGGGGAAAAAGGAAGATGTCTCTCTAGAGGTGCTTTCATGCATGACAAATTAGCCCTGAGCTGGAAGCACAAGTGGGCAGTGTTGAGATATTTGGGTCTAAACTCCTTGATAAAAGAAATCTTTTTTTTTTTTTTTTTTTTTTTTTTTTTGAGACGGAGTCTCACTCTGTTGCCCAGGCTGGAGTGCAGTGGCGTGATCTCGGCTCACTGCAAGCTCCGCCTCCTGGGTTCACACCATTCTCCTACCTCAGCCTCCCGAGTAGCTGGAACTACAGGCGCCCACCACCTCGCCCGGCTAATGTTTTGTATTTTTAATAGAGATGGGGTTTCACCGTAATAGCCAGGATGGTCTCGATCTCCTGACCTCGTGATCCGCCCGCCTTGGCCTCCAAAAGTGCTGGGATTATAGGTGTGAGCCACCGCGCCGGGCCGACAAAAGAAATCTTTGAACAAAGCCCTTGGTCCCTCATGTCCCAGATGACTTGGTAGCTATGAACTCCAATGTTTGTCTCTCCAGACCCATAAACCTGTGAAAAGCTAAGCCTATTACTCCCCTGTGGGAAAAAAAAAAATCAACAAATTCTTTTAGGGAAAAAGCAGCCAAAATTGTTGAGCTTCTCCCGCTGCATTTCTTTTCTCTCCAGGACCTTGGCACCTCACACCTTGGCTGTCTTGGTAGCTCTCCAGTGCCCTCAAACAGCTGCTGTTGTGGTGGTTATTGTCATTGTTGTTGATTCAGCTTTTATAGTTGTTCTTGGCAAGAGAGTTGATCTGATGCAAGCTACTCTAACTTGGATGAAATTGGGAGTTCCAACCTCAATTGCATTTAATTCAAGTGCATATTAATTCAACTACATATTAAAGATCTACTTCAATGCTATCAATATTTTTGGGAGGATATGACTGAAAATATTAAATGAGCACCTAATCTTGCCGGGCAGTTTGACAGGTGCTTTATATAGAGTATAAGTGGTATTCTTTAGCAGCGAGTGCAATGGCTCCCAAGAGAGACTGCTTGGGTTTGACTTCAGAACCTATTACTTAAACTTAGGCAACTTATTTAACTACTCTCTGCCTCAGGGTCTTCATTTATGTAATGAAGGCAAAAGATATCTGTCTTCTGGGACTACTCTGAGAAACAGATGGCATAGTACTGCCAAGCTCATGGTGCAGGGCCTCCTTCATATTAGATATCTAATAATGATGGTGTATGTTGTTATTGTCTCAGTTACATGGCACCAAAACTCTTGAGAGTTATTACTGACCCTATTTTGCAAATGGTGAGACTGAGGCTAGAAGAAAATGTGAAGGTAAGTGAAGGTATGTGTGAGTATAAGTGTGTGTATGTGAGAGTGTAGGGTGGGGAGTGAGTGATATGACCAGAAAAATTATCACTTTAGTGCTGGACCAAATAAATCAAGGTAAGACAAGAGAGAGATAGGGTAAAATTCCAGTTAAGTTGTCACTGTAATGATGAGGAGAAAAGGAATGAAGGCCTGAAATAGGTTAATGGTACCAGAGATAGGAAAGAACAGAAGAATAGAGGGATGCTGTAGAAGGTAAGAGCAAGTGGCTTTAATAACACTTTAACTGTTGAATTTCAGATAAGAGTCCAAGGTGACCCTAAGATTTTACACTGACACAATGAAAAGGATAAAGGTGTTGATGATGACCAAGTTTATCTTTGCAGAGAAAAATTAATAAAGAGATGAGGGAGGCTGGGCATGGTGTCTCACGCCTGTAAGCCCAGCACTTTGGGGGGCTGAGGCAGGCTAATCACCTGAGGTCAGGTGTTCAAGACCAGCCACGAAACCCCGTCTCTACTAAAAGTACAAAATTAGCCGGTCCTGATGGTGGGCCCCTGTAATCCCAGCTACTCAGGAGGCCGAGGCAGGAGAATCGCTTGAACCCGGGAGGCAGAGGTTGCAGTAAGCCGAGATCATGCCACTGCACTCCAACATGGGTGACAAGAGCGAGACTCCATCTCAAAAAAAAAAAAAAAAAAAAAAAAAAAAAAAGATGAGGGAATGGAAGATGGAAGAAAGGTTAGATAAGTTTTGATGAAAAACAGGTGCTCACCAAGGATCCAGCATATAAGCAACAGATGAAGAAAACAGGTCCAGATGATGTTGCATAGTGGGAAGTTTTCTATCCATAGATTTATGAGGATATGAGTGAGTTCTGTGAGACAGACATGCTGACCAAGGTAAAATTAAGGTGTCATAAGTAAATTCATTGAATTTTGCAGTCTTCTCTAGCTCAACCCTAGGCACTGCTTAGAACCTTTGAAAGCTCTAAAGAAGTCCCAAAGACAAGTCTCATTTTGAGAGGGAGATAGGAGAAAGCTTCTGCTTAAATCTACTCACCCATCCATCCATTCATCCATCCATCCATCCATTTATCTATACAGCCATCCACTCATTTATTGCTCACTTAGTTGCAATTACATGCCAAGTACTAGAATATGTGGACAAAAGAGATGTCTCTGACCTCCAGAAACTCTCATCTGAACGGGAATATAATTATATAATTTAAAATTTAACCATAATTTATAATTCTACAGAGGAGATAAGTATCACATTTTCACATATAAATACCTCCTGGTAGAACTTAAAGGAATTTACTAGGGATTTTAACCTTGGGTCTCACAATGTCTTACTAGGTGACTTTGAGCAAATCCCTCCCACACATCTACTGAAAGGTCATAGGAAAGTTACTTCTTGCTAAGCCTCAGCTTCCACATCTGTGAATGGAGGGGTTTGGAACAGATGATGGAGGTCTCTTCCAGTCATTTGACTCTAAGGATTGTTCTGTGGGAGACCCTTTAGTCACATGACCTGGATATGACCAGCTTTTTTCACACCCTTTCCCCCCTTATTCTCCCACATTTTTCTCTCTACCCTGAGCATTCACTGAAAGGATCACAAGGGGATGACTTTCAGGGGAGCAGGCTGTGAATAAATCTCCAAAAGTGGCTACTATGTGAGTATAAACATGTTTGTAGTAGATCCCAGGTAGAAACTTTCTGGCAGCTCAAATGGCTTAAGCTTTGTGATTTATTTGAGTGTATGGCATGCTACATGGCTTCCTGACTCAACCTCTGTAGCTCAATAAATCTCCTGGCTCTTTTCTTAAATGACACAGAAAGGAGGAAGGAAGAAATGAAAAAGAAGAGAGAGTTTTTACCAGAGAAGACGAGGGGGAAATTTTTTCCCTGTCTTCCTCTCTTGGATCTCAATTTGTTCTTTTTTTCCTTTTCTTAACACCCTGCATTGGCCTCAAATGTTTAATGGAAGCACTCATGTTTACAGTCTAGTGAGGTTTATTTACACTTTGTGGATTGTTTCCTTTGCTATACAGAAGGTTTTTAGTTTGTCGTAGCCCTGCTTGTCTATTTTTGCTTTTGTTGTCTGTGCTTTTGGTAACATACCCAAGAAATTGTTGCCAAGACCAATGTCATGAAGTTTCCTTCTATGTTTCTTCTTCTAGGAGTTTTATAGTTGCATGTCTTACATTTAAATCTTTAATCCATGCTGAGTTGGTTTTTGCATGTGGTATAAGATAAGGGTCCAATTTCATTCTTTTGAATGTGAATATCTAGTTTTCCCAGTACCATTTATTGAAGAGACTATTCTTTCCCCATTATGTATTCTTGGCACCCTTGTCAAAAATCAGTTCACTATACATGTATAGGTTTATTTCTGGGTTCTCTATTCCATTGGTCTATATATCTGTTTTTTTTTTAATTCTAGTACAACACTATTTTAATTACTGAAGCTTTGTAATGTATTTTGAAATAGTGAAATGTGATTCTCTAGCTTTGTTCTTTTTTCTCGAGTTTGCTTTGGCTATTCATCATCTTTCGTAGTTTTATATGAATTTTAAGATTGTTTTTTCTATTTCTGTAAGAACAAATGCCATTGGGGTTTTGTAAGAGATTGCATTGAATCTGTAGATCACAGAATGAGAAGAAATATTTGCAAATCACATGTTCAATAAGGGGTAAATCTCCAAAATATGTCTGGAATTCTTACAAGTCAATAGCCAAACCAAACCAAAACAAAACCTAACGATGTTATTTAAAAATGGGCAAAGGACTTGGACAGACATTTCTTCAAAGACACACAAATGACCAACAGGCATATGAAAAGATCTCGACATCATTAATGATTAGGAAAATTCAAATGAAAACCATAATGAGATATCACCTCACATATAAAAGCATATATAATATAATTAATATAATGATGACTAATCTAAAACAAAAGATAAATGTTAGCTAGGATACGGAGAAATTAGAACCCTTATATAATGTGGGTGGGAACGTAAGATGGTACAGCCTGTATGAAAAACAATATGGAGCTTCCTCAAAACATTAAAAATACAACTACCATATGATTCAGTAATATCACTTCTGAGTATATGTACAAAAGAATTAAAATCAGGATCTTGAGGAGATACCTCCGCTCCACTCCAACGTTCATTGGAGCATTATTCATAATAGCCAAGATACTGAACCAACCTAACTGTCCATCAATGGACAAATGAATAAAGAAAATGTGGTATGAGCATACAATGGAATACTATTCAGCCTTAATAAGGAAGTAAATGCTCTCACAAGCAGCAACATGGATGAACCTGGAGGAAAGTATGCTAAGTGAAATAAGCTAGTTATAGAAAGACAAATATTGTGTGATTCCACTTATACGAGTTGTCTAAAAGAGTCAAACTCAGAAACATAGAGTAGAATGAAATTTGCCAGGGGCTGTGGGAAAGGAGTTTGCCTGCCAGGGGCTGGGGGAAAGGGTAGATGTGGAGTTGTGGTTAATAAGAGTAAAGTTTCAGTTATGCAGGATAAGCAAGTTCTAGAAATCTGCTGCGTAACATAATGTGTATAGGTAACAGCATTGTATTTTGCAAAATATATTTGTTAAAAGGGTAGGTTGTATGTTAAATGTTCTTCAAACACACACACACACACACACACACACAGAGAAAATGTGGTGACATTTTCTAGGCCACAATCTTTGCAACTACCTTCTTTTGGCGATGTTAGTGGCATCTACAGCCTCTACTCCAGTCACCCTGGCCCTCATGCTTGTGGGAATATGCCATGCCTTTTCCTCTTTATTGCACAAACCACTTTCTTCTTTCCTGGAATGTGCTCTCATATGCTGTCCTTCTACCAGAACTCCATCTGCCCTTCAATGAGTCTTTCTGGATTCTGTTCATTCATCTCTATCTTTGCAGTCATCTCACTTATAACTCTTAAGAGGGTGAACTCCAGGGTCCAGACTCTGTGGGTTTAAACCCCAGAGGTGGGCAATAATGATATCTGCTACTTAAGGTCATTGTGAGGATGAAATGATGTAATTCATGTAACCTCTCATCTCCTTCCTGGGTCCTGCCTTCTGACTGGCTCCCACACTCACATTTCATCCCCAGCAGTTCTCCACACTCCAGCCTCCCGACCCTCTGCACTGTTAAGACTTGCAATGACTTCTCATGGCTCTGTGGATAAAGACCGTGATCCTTACAAACACTACAAAATGAACTTTTGTGTATCTAGTCACACTTCTATGCTCTGCTCTTTGGCTACACCGGTTTCCTTTGAGTTCCTGAAATCCACCCGTCGGCCTTTCAGCACAGGTTTCTTGAGCCATATGGTTCCTCTGCCTGGAATTCTTCCTCAGTAACTTCTTCCCATTCTTCAGATTCCTGATGGCAGGGCATTCCCTCAGGAAAGTCCTTGTATTCATTTCCTGGGACTGCTGTATCAAACTGGGTAGCTTAAAACAGCAGGAGTTTCTTCTCTCACAGTTTTAGAGAATGAAAATCTAAAATTAAGGCTTCAGTAGGGTTGGATTCTTCTGGAGGCTCTGAATTTTGGTGGCTGCTGGCAACCCTTCATACTCCTCAGCTTGGGGCCTCCTAACTCCACTCTCTCCTTCTGTGTTTATGTGGCCTTATTCTCTGTGCCTCTGTGTTTCAAATTGCTCCCTCTTCTCTCTGATAAGGACAGTAGTCAGTGGACTCAGGGCGTAACCTTAATCCAGAATGATCTCTCTTGAGGATTCTCATGGAGGACCTCTGCTAGGGCAGTATGGAAGAGAAATGTGGGGTCGGAGCCCCCACACAGAGTCCCTACTGGAGCATCACTTAGTGGAGCTGTGAGAAGAGGGCCACCATCCTCCAGACACCAGATCCACTAACAGCTTGCACCCTGTATGCCTGGAAAAGCTGTAGACACTCAACACCAGCACATGAAAGCAGCTGGGAGGGAGGCTGTACCCAGAGAAACCACAGTGGTGGAGCTGCCCAAGACCATGGGAACGCACCTCTTGCATCAGCGTGACCTGGATGTGAGACATGGAGTCAAAGGAGATCATTTGAGATTTTGGACTTGCATGGGGTCTGTAGCCCCTTTGTTTTGGCCAAAATCTCCCATTTGGAATGACTGTATTTATTTAATGCCTGTACCCCCATAGTATCTAGGAAGTAGCTAACTTGATTTTGATTTTACAGGCTCATAGGTGGAAGGGACTTGCCTTGTCTCAGATGAGACATTGGACTGTGGATTTTTGAGCTAATACTGAAATGAGTTAAGACTTTGGGGGACTGTTGGGAAGACATGATTGGTTTTGAAAAGTGAGGACATGAGATTTGGGAGGGGCCCGGGGCAGAATGATATGGTTTGGCTGTGTCCCCACCCAAATCTCATCTTGAATTGGACCTCCGACAATTCCCATGTGTTGTGGGAGGAACCCAGTGGGAGGTGATTGAATTATGAGAGTGGGTCTTTCCTGTGCTGTTCTCGTGAGCACTGATGGCTTTGAAAATGGGAGTTTGCCGGCACAAACTCTCTCTTTGCCTGCCACCATCCATGCAAGATGTGACTTGCTCTTCCTTCTGCCATGATTGTGAGAGCCCCCCAGCCACGTGGAATTGTGAGTCCAATTAAACCTCTTTCTTTTGTACATTGCCCAATCTCGGTATGTCTTTATCAGCAGCATGAAAATGGACTAATACAAGGTCCCTAACATCTGCAAAGATCCTATTTCTAAATAAGGTCACTTTCAAAGGTACTGGGGTTAGGTCTTGGACATATCTTTATGGGGGACTCACTTCAACCCACCTTTGATGCTCTTTACCCATCATGCCTCCCAACACCCATATCCCTTGCCATCTCCATGTGTGAGCTCATGGAGTCATAAATTTTAGCATCACAGCTTTTACTGTAGTTGTCTCCTTACATTTATCCATATGATCCTGTGGTTACTGCCCCCAACGAGATGCTAAGTTTCATGAGGACAAGAACTACGTCTGTTGTCTCACCTTCAGATCCCCAGAGCCAAACCTAGTGTCAGATACATAACTGGCACACACATTTAAATACTTGTTGATGTAGATTATTTTAAAATATTTAATGATAGAGGAAATTACTTAGAGTGTTAAATTAAAAATACAGGCCATAGAATCTTTATATAGACACACAATCACACAGAGAAAGGAAGTTACATACGGCAACATTTTAACAATGCCTATAGTAAATATTAGAATTAAGGGTCTTTTTCTGTTATTCTATTCATTCTGCATTGTCTAATTTTATACAATGCATTTGTTTGACATCCTACTTTTTTCTAACTTATTTTCTACTGAAAAAAAATGTGATGCTAATAGCTTTTAAGAACTTTTGGGAAAGTGACTCTAGAACTATCACCACATAGCCTTTGTAATGCAAAATATACAAGGACATAGAATAAATTGCCCTTAGTTCTCATTCTAAAGTCTGGATCCAATGATTCCCAACAGAACCTTTCATAATTGTTAGAAAAATAATGATTGTTTTTTCCTAATAGATCATAGTTGACCAGAATTGGATTAGTCATAATTTTCTGTTCATGATACATCGTCATCATCGCCATGCATGGTTATATACCTTTACTTTTATAATACTATAAGCGTCCATGAACCTCCACGAGATCACCAACTGTTTCATCTACTCCTATCCCCCACTCCACGTGTGACATCTAAAATCCAAATTCCCTGAGTACTCTCACTTGTCAATACTTGGGTGTCTACACGGAGCATTAGAGCTAGGTTTACATTGTCCAGAGTGAGCAGGACCTATACAGAGGGCTCTTGTAGATGTCTTCTCACCAAGAACTATTGTCCTTTGATGAACTGTTACCCAAAAATATCATCTGACTCATGATAGGTCCTTGATAATCAGCTGTGAGCAAGTGAATGCGCGAAAAGACAAAGGCATTGGATTTTGCAATGGGATCATTTTGCCTGGCCCTAACTTTCATCAGTGGGAGGCCTTGTTTGATAAATGAAACCAGAAATTTCTTAGGTTGCAGGATATTTTGGTAGGATTGCTAATTGGTTGTAACAGTGGTTTCCAGACTTGGCTAAACATTAGAATTACCTAAATTACCTAAAATTTTGTGATAAAAATCACAAAAAATTGCCAATCCCTGGGTCCCACTTCTGACTAATAGAATCCAACTCCCTTTAGGTGATATTAATGTGTAGCAGGCTTGGTAGCCATGGGGTTAGGAAAAGGCAGAGGGAGCTCAGAATGTTGAGCCTCAGCCCACTCTGTGTCCTGATGATTTTTCATGGAGAGATCTTGATACTCTGGCCACAGAAGGCTTCCTTCCCCTCAGCTGGTGTCTCGGCAATGTGGACCACTGTTCCCATGGGAACTGGTCTGGAAAGGGCTCACTAAATGGGGAGAGGAAGCCCAGAGAACCTTGTTAGAAGGAAATGCCTGGGCTTGGCTCAACCAGAAGGCTAGTAGAACAACATGGCAGCAGTTAGAACCCCCAGAGATGGAGAGGTGAGGTGGGTGGGCTCTGGCTTGATGAAAAATACAGCTCTCCTGAAGGAAGAGAATGACCCCAAACTTTGGAGAAAAGGTTGAAATAAACTTTAGAAAAGTCAGATGCAACAGCTTGGGTTAGCACACACATAGAAATGGGCTTGCCCTGTCTCTGAACAGATTTAAGCAACTGGCCTTTTTTTAAATGTGACTCACATTTGAGGATAAATAATATGAAAAAAAGAAATGTTAGTACAATGAAACACAAGGCACAGAGGAGAGGCCGAAATCTTTTTAGCTATTTATTTTATATAATCTGGCTTTAAGAGGAGTCTCGTCATTGTTGCATGAATTAATGGAAGGTGAATGTGCTATTCTCTCATATTCAGGGCAAAGCAGTTGAATTTACCTCTGCTGAAAGAGGTAGATGCCCTTAGGACAGGTTTCATAGCAAGATATAATCTTGGTCCAATATATGTCTATTATATGTTTTCAGGCACATTTCCTAACCTTTCTGAGTCCCAGTTTCCTTTTTGGTATGTAGCAGACATCCCACATTTGACCTGAAAAAAATGCCTGCAATAGGCAGTTATAAAGGACTAGTAAGGTAGACACTCTGGGATGAAGTTTTCACAAGTCAACTTACTTAAAGCCTTTGGTGGAAGAAACACAATCAGTGCATGAATGATGGGGAGGAAGGTTGGGAGAAGAAAATGGGTGTCTGTCTCAGAGATTGGTCATTTAATCCAGAGGGAAAATCCTGCATGCAGATTCTAGAGAAAGAAACAATGTAAAGAGAAGCTGAAGAAATGGTTTCCACTGTTGTCATCAAAAGTCTTCTTGAGACATTGGTGCTCAGACAGTCCTCTTGGTGCTGGGATGACCAAGAGGGATGCCAGGCTGGGGAGAGGGAATCTGTTCTGTGTGGGACACTCAAGGCTTTGGCTCTCTGGGAGCTCCTAGAAAAGAAGCATCATTCTGGAACTTGGAGGGTTGCATTGTGTCAACTACGCAGTCGAGGTTGTAACTGTGCCGGCAGAAGGGTGATTGGCACTGGGCATCAGAGGCAGGGATGAGGTACCATCATGGAGTGCCGCAGCATGCACTGTCCTGGTGAGAAGAAATTCCTGAGAGGTCAAAGCAGAAGAGTTTTTCAGGTCTCTTGAGATGCCCAGATACCATTCATGAGCACATATAAGTCATCATTGAGGGAAATTGACACTTTTTGGCTTGAGGCAGGGGATAGGTAACAGCCTATGCAACAAAAGTGATTACTATTGTTGTTACAACCCACCTGTGGCTAAAATACGATGCAGTTTGAGCATCATAGGGGATATACAAAGTGGAGAGAACAGGCTTTAACTCAAAGCAGGGTTTTTTTTTGCCTTGGCACTATTGGAATTTGGGACCAGATAGTTCTTTGTTGTGTTTGAGTTGCCCTGTATGCTGTAGGATGTTTAGCAGCATCCCTAGTCTCCGCCTACTAGATGCCAATTGCAGTCTCCCAGTTGTGACAACCAAAAATCCCGCCAGATGTTTCCAAATGTCTCCTAGGAGGGGGAGGAAAAATTGTGCCCGCTGAAAACCACTGACTCACGGTGTTATTATGAAAATTTAAGATGTGGTATACTAAATGCCCAGCCCAGTGTCTGTATCAACAAATATTAGTTTCTTTCTCCCTTCCTGTCACTGGCTGTTCTGATCTATTTGATGTGAAGATTCATGTATTCACCCAGCAGGGTATACAGATCACCCAGCAGGGTATACAGATCTGAACTGGCTAAGACTCTAAGATGCTGCAGCCTCTTTGCTTTTGACCTTGGGCAACCTCTCTGGCAACCTGAACTTTCCTAATAGAAAAATGAGAGACTTGGACTTAGTGATTTTTATGTGCCATTTGAGGGCTGACATTTCATGGTTCTTGGAATACCTGGGCCAGAATTAGGAGAAGAAAGGCTATCAAGAGTACATTATGAGGACAAATCAAAGAGCTGGCTTTTGTGAGATGAAGCAAAATGGTGGCTGAGAGAGATGTGCTAAACATTGCCAAATATTTGAAGGCAGGATATATAAAGGAGAGATCACTCTGAGGCCTCAGCACAGTGACTAGTTAAGAATGGAATCAAGCCAAAAGCTAAAATCAAAATGGAAATGGAGATATTTGGCTGAGAGAGAGCCAGGGGAGACCCTGGAAGAATGAGCTATTTGTACAGGCCAGGTACCAACTGCCAGGGTGTGGAAGCAGAATTCTAATATTACCCCCAAGATTTCTAGTCCATGGTATATACACACCTTCTCCCAGTTGCTCAGTCAAAATCTAATCTAGGAACTGTTGGGAAGAGATTTTGCAGCTATAATTAAGGTCCCAAATCAGTTGACCTAAGTATAGAGATATTATCTTAGTTGGCCTGACAGAATCACACAAGACCAGATTTAAAATCTGAGTCTAGGGGTTAGAGACATGAAGTGTGAGAGGAATTTGATGGGAGGCAGATGGAAGAGCCCATAAGTCCTGGAATGCGGAGGGCTTTTAGGAGCTGAGAGCAGCCCCTGGAAGAAAATGAGAACCTCAGTCCCACAGTAGCAAGGAATTAGACTCCAAGCTATGAGTGAGCTTGGAAAAGCATTCTTCCCCTAAAAGCTCCAGATGAGACTTCAGCTTGGCTGATACATTGATTTTAGCCTTTGAGGTCCAAAGCAGAGAATCCAGTAACACCATGCTGGGACCCCAACCTACAGATCTGCAAGATAATAAGTGAATGTTTTGATAAGCCACTAAGCAGTAGAAAACTGAAAAACCAGCCTGGGCACAGTGGCTCATACTTGTACTTCAGTACTTTGGGAGGCTGAGTCAGGAGGATCTCTTGAGTCCAGGAGTTTGAGACCAACCTGGGCAACGTTGGGAGATCCAGTCTCTGAAAAAAAATTTTAAAAGTAGCAGGGCATGGTGGCACACACCTGTGATCAAATCTACTCAGGAGGCTGAAGTGGGAGGATCGCTTGAGACCAGGAGGTTGAGGCTACAATGAGCTGTGATAATTCCACTGCACTCCAGCCTGGGAGACAGAGTGAGACTCTGGCTCTAAAAAAAAAAAAAAAAAAAAAAGTGTGTGCGTGTGTGCACACACACTTTTTTATATATACTTTATTTTATATATACACACACATATATATATGGTATATTAGGAGTGACCTCAATTGTGTCCTCTTGAATCATCCCAACCTCCCTCCACCATCTTGATGAGCAAAGAAGCTACTAAGTATTTCATTCATTGTAGAGTTAGCTGAAATACCACATCATGGGCTCCAGGAGATATCTATTTGGAGTAGCCTTTGTTTCCAATAGTGAGTGGCCAGTGGCAGATAAGAAACTTTAGAAGCAGGGGTTGGGGAAAAGAAAGAGGCAAATTCCTATGGCTTTGACTTCAGGGGAAATGACAAAAAGTTTCTGACTTGAGTCTCAATCAAATAAAGTTTTTGTTTGTTTGTTTGTTTCCCCTGTCACCATATACAGATATCACCTAATCTGAGAGTAGAGTCAATTATGTCTTTTCTTAACAGAACCACAGACTGAATGGTCCTTGGGGCTGGAGTAATGAAGTCGTAGGGGTTGTGGTGTTTCTTAAAGTAAGTTGGTAAACAAGACCAGATGCACTCCCTCATCAAGCCAAATGAGACTAAATGTAAGATCTGCTGTGTGTGTGTGTGTGTGTGGTGTGTATGAAGTGTGTGTTTTTGTGTAGACAAGGGTATGGATTATTTATTGGTACCAGAGTGCACAGCATAGGTGTGTGGTACATATGGGGCAATGTTGCATGTAGGTGAAATTTAAGCGTGGTTGTGGGAAATCACATGTGGGTATATCTACGTATAAGTGTATGTGAGGTGTCAGAAGAGGTTAGACGTAATGGGGAGTACGTGTGTGTGACAGTGATTCTGGTCTATTGGTATATGAACAGTTAGGAGTGTGAGTGGGAGATGAGTTGCAGGGTATGGTAGGGAAGGAGTTGAGTGTGTAGTTATTTGTCTGCAGGAGACAGTAGGGTATGGGTTAATAACCATAGTTGTTGATAACATGCCATTGTGTAGGCAAGTATATCTGTGCATGTATGTACAGAGCATGTATGTGAGTCTGTTTGCTGTGGAGGGGTCTGGGGTGTGATGCACATGAGTGGTAGGGGTGGAGTTGGTGTATCCTGCTCAGCACTTCTCTCTCCGTCTCTTTCTCTGACATTACCGTGTTTAAATTTCTTATTTATACTTACAACACTCTAAATCTATCTCCTTTATGTAATTATTTATTTGCTTGCTATCTGATCCACTGGAATATAAGCTCCCTGAGAGCAAGACCTATCTTATATGCTGGTGTCTTTCAATTTTTAGAACAGTATACATAGCATATGAATCAATGAATGTGGAGGATGATGTGATGGAGAGTGTCTGTGCATGTGAGTATATGTAAAATGATGGTGGGAAATCTACCATGATGGTACAAATGGGATTAGGTGTCTCGTGATCTGTAAGTTAATAGAGGAGTGATATGCTTTGTGTGTGATTGTGTACCATGTGTGTATGAGTGTGTGGTGAGATGTAAGTATGTGCCTGAAGGGTGTGTGGTAATGAGTGGTAGAGGAAGAGGGAAGGAATGTATCTATGATTGAGTGAATGTCATTTGATTTTAGCAATCTCCCTTGACTCACTGGGATGTAGGTTGTCAGGTGCCAACTCACCTGGGGACCTGAAACTGTACTGTGTTGTCTTAATGAGGAATCCTGTCTTGACAGCCAGGTCTTGGAAGCCAAAATAGGCCAATAAGACACAGGTAAGGTTAAAGGAAAATAGAAATCTGTCTTGTTATGTGGTGTCTCAAATAAGAAGCAGATCTTCTTCAGAACCTGTAAGATACTTTATGAGAGCCTAAAATATAGGTGGCTTTGTTTGCAGCAGAGCCATGTGCTATAGCAACAAGTGCGTGTTTGTTATTTCAGAGCTTGGACTTTATCTCTCAGATCCTGGAGACACTTTTTAAGACCTAGACAATTACATTCTGAAGGTTTAAATGTCCCTACAATTTCAATTCCTTGTTTCTTCAGCTAGGGAGACTCATCTAATTATTCTTAAATGGTTATTCTTTTGCTTGTTTTTCTAGTTTTGCTAATAGAAGTTTTAAGTGCCTGCTAATTCTTGTGCCCAATGCTAGAATCTGAGAAGTTTTGGGTATCTTCCGTCTTGTTTAAATGACCTCAATGCCCTTAATTCGAATTCACCTTGAGTTCTATCTGTTTTCTCTTTTTGGAAAATATATTCTGGGCACTTCTAGACTTCTAGGTTTAGAATCCATCTTTCTTTTAACCTTTTCCTGTGTTTCTCATGTAGCTGGAGGATGTTTGATTAGTTACATGAATTCTTGCCTTTCAAGAGTGGTATAATGTTAACATAGGCTACCTGGATAATTTTTAAAACATATTTTTTTCCTGGAAATATTTGATTAGATGCTTTGCCCTAAAATTTACTTAGTCCGGACACTATAGAAAGCATCTTCCCTGTCTTCATTTTTAATCTTCTATGTGAAAGGGATTGTCCTATAACCTGAATGTGGAATGAGAGGTGGCAGAGAGGAATATTAAGGAGAAAGAAGACCAAAAAAATGCCTGGCTTAGGGAAAAAGATTCTGGGATGAGAAGCACCCAAAAGACAAAATCGGCCCATCACTACCATCAGTGTCATCATGACCATCACCCTCATCTTTATCAATAACGAGGTAAAGGTACAGAATGTGAACCTTCTGTTTCTCGTCTTCTTTTGATATTAAATCCATATTAAGAGGGCATAGGTCACTGGCTCACTCTAAGTCTTGGTTGCTTTGATATGGCTTTCATAGAACACAAATTTTATGGGGCCACTTCTCTGCCCAAGATCATTCAGCCTCCCTGTCTATATTCAGATCAAACCCAAACTTTTCTGATGGCCAGCCAGGCATCACCATCTCCCAGTCTCATTTGGTGTAAATATTACCTCTGGTTTAAAGTCATCTATTGCTTACCACGTTGTGCCAGGCTCTGTGACCTGAGGATGTAGAGATGGGAAAGAGATACAGAGTCCCTTCTCTGTCCTCAAGGAACTCACAGTTCAGCGGGAGCGACAAGGTATTACAGAGATGATGGCAGCCAAATCTGTGTTGGGCAAATGGGGATGAAATAAAGAGAAGGAGTTAAAAAAATGAAAAGTTGAAAAATAGATGATTCTGGACCTGAACCTTGAAGGATGGTACAGTTTCCAAGAGAATGAATGGTTATAAGACAGGGACAGGGTGGCCAGACATAATCTCTGGCTTGGACACCATATACATTCTAACCTCTTTTTGGTGATGCATATTTATTACTAGAAATATCTGCCTCCTCTTCCTTCCTTTATCCAAGTCCTGCCTACCCTTCAGAGACTGAGTCTAATCTCAGCTTTGACGTGAAGCCTTTTGACACCACTGGAAACTTTCCTGGTCCACCCTCTCTTACTCTGAAGTCTGTTTCAGGCCATTGTACACAATATTAAATTTTTGATGATGGTCTTTTGTATATAATAAGGAAGAAGGGCCGGGTGCAGTGGCTCGTGCCTGTAATCCCAGCACTTTGGGAGGCTGAGGCAGGTGGATCACCTGAGGTCAGGAGTTCGAGACCAGCATGGCCAACATGGTGAAACCTCGCCTCTATTAAAAATACAAAAAGCAGCTGGATGTGGTGACAGGCGCCTGTAATCCCAGCTACTCAGGAGGCTGAGGCAGGAGAATCACTTGAACCCGGGAGGCAGAGGTTTCAGTGAGCCAAGATCATGCCACTGCACTCCAGAGCAAGACTTTGTCTCACAAAAAAAAAAAAAAAAAAAAAAAAAAAAAAGAAAGAAAATTCTGAGAACAGGAGATTCAGCTCTTCTCCTTGGAACCATAGCCTGTTCAAGTCTCAAGTCAGGCAGTCTGGACACCCAGAATAGGGCAGTGTTCACAGATTCTTGAAAGCCAGAATGTAACAGTTGAGAATATGAGGGCTCTTGTGCTTGTTCAATGTGTACCTTCTAGAAAGTGATTTAAATTTCCTGTGCTTCAGTTTACTCATCTGTAAATTGGGAATGATGGAATAAGTTGCTGTCAGAAGTAAGTCCATAACTGTAAGGCCTATATAACAAGGCCAGGAAAATGTGGTAAGCGCTAAATAAATGTTGCCTATTATTATCTGATCCAGTCATCCCGAAGCCTTTCTATTATTTTATAGATGAAGAGAGATGGAGAGAGGAAGTGACCATTCTAAGGTCCCACAGCTAGTAAGTGGCAGAGCTGGGACCATAACTGAAATGTTCTAACCCCCAGCCCAGAGCCCTCTGGGGAGTACCACAGCATGCCTTGGCCACCCCACCAGTCCCAGCCCAACCCTTAACTCATAGCTCCGTATGTGTTTGTCAAGTAACTGACCACTAAACCCAGCCAGAAGGCCCCCAAAGAAGATCCTGGATGTGGAAAGAGAACAGCTAAACCGTTCCAAATCCCAGTGGTCTGAGCTCTCCACCTGCCCTTTAGAAAAGACATTGCCTGGAGGCTGAAAGGAAGAGTTAGGGTGGTTTAAAATTAATGCTCTTGGATTGGGCTTAAAAGCTTTACCTTCCTCTCTATCTTCTGTTACAACCTGAAGGCAACTTGGCTTTTGCCAGCTGAAGAAGCAGCTCCATTTAAAATCCATTAGTATTTTAATTGCAGAGGGATTGCACTCCCGCTGCCTGGCTGCAGGCTCTCACTTAGTACCGGGTACCTGAGAACCAATGTGCCAGGCAGCTAGCCAGCCTTGTCCCAGTGCCCTGCAGAGCAGGGCTGGCCTGATGCTCTTGACCATGCCCCAGTCCCGTTCTCACCTGAACGTTCTGCTCCTGGCTCAGCTAACAGACCAGCAGCTAGGGAGGCAGAAGCAATCCTACCTTCTATGCTCTCCGTAAGCACAAACTTGCTGTGTGGTTTCAAGCACATTAGTGTGATTCTCTCGACTGCAATCTCTTTATGATAGATGAGCAATTATTGAATGCTTTTAGTGCAGCAGGCCCATCCTAATTTACCCAACAACCTAGCAGAGGTGGCATTGTTATCCATTTTATATTCCAGGATGCAGGCTCAGAGAGGTGAAGTGACTTGTCCAAGGCCACACAGCTGATAAGTGATAGAGTCTGGACTCAACGCCATGTGGCAGAATGGGAAGAACTAGAAAATTCCATAGTATTAATACAGATCCTAGCAGTACCAATGAAAGTATCCCTTGAGCAAATCCCTTGGAATAAACCAAGCGGGGCAACCTTTTATATGAAGAAAAACTTCCTATTTAATACTCTGCAATATAGTGGTTCTGTAATATGCTTGCACACCTGACTGGCCACTAAAGGTTTGATAAAAACACGGATTCCTAGACCTTAGTCCAGGCCTAGAGAACTTCAAAACTCTGTAGGAGGGGCTTGGGAATCTGTCATTGAGCAAACTCATGTCTGACATGCAGGAGGGTGTGCAAATGACGGTTAGCTTGCTAGTTCTCACATTCTGTGAGACGATGCCTGTGTTAGTCAAGTGCAGTGGGTTAGAGCAGCAGCAAACAAATCTCAAATTTTGTCATATGCCTTAACACAACAAAAGAGTATTTCCCACTTTTGTAATGTCTGTTGTTAGTGTGGGCACCTCTCCAGAGCAGCTGTCCTCCATGCGGCGGCTCCCCATCCCAGGCTGGCTTGATCTATGGCACCTCCATGGCAACATGTGGTTCTATGATGCTCTCTGGCAGAAGAGAAGCCTGGCAATGAAATACTTTTAATATGGAGGGACACACACCACTTCAGCTTCTATTTCATTCTTCACAGTAAGCCCTACTGACCAGTTCTAACATGAAGGGAGCAGAGAACGGCCATCATCCCTGTGTGACTGGACCAAAGTAGAGATGAACTGGGTCTTGATAAGCAGTAGAAAGTCCTGTTGTTACAATGACATATTGGAACTGCTTGGAGAAACCTTTCATCTCCTCCTGGTTGCATGGATGAGGAATAAGAGGGAAGGCCAAAGTCCCAGGAATGATTCTTGGGAGTGATCATAGCCATGTATTCATTTATTTGTTCATTTACTCATTCCAAAAATACTCTCTGAGCTTTTATTATGTGTTTGGTAATGGGCCAGGGGATGAAGAAACAAAGTTGCATCATACACAGGATCCTGAACTTAAGGCATTTGGTTAAGTGGGGAGGGCAGACATGTAAATGGATAATGAAAATAAACAATCATAAATGCTAATTGCAGACAAGATTAGAAAGGATTTTCCAGATGGGGGAATAGTACGTGTAAAGCCATGGAGACAGAAAACAGCTTGAGATGGTCACATGTCTGGGAGAAATTTTTATGGCTGGGGATTAGAACAAGAGAAAGGAAAGGCTGAAAGATAGGGCTGAGTAGGGCTGTGAGGATAAAGAACATGGGAGAACGAAAGTGCTGAAGGAACTAGGGAGAGACCCCAGATGTGCAGTACCTTTTTATCTACATTGCTTTCTTTTGTGTCCTGGTATTAGGGTAGGAAACATTTTGGTTTGGGATATACTTGGGTTAGAATAATAACTCTCGCCATTATTGAGTGCCTTGGAGAAAGATACACAGCTTACTCTCTTTCGTGCATCTGTAAAAGAATATCTGAGAGCGAGTGATTTATTTTAAAAAGAGGTTTATTCAGCTTGTGGTTCTGCAGTCTGGGAAGTTCAAGGGCTTGGCCCTGGGTTCTGATGAGGGCATTCGTGCTGCCTCACAACATGGCTGAGAAGGTCAAATGGGAAGCTGACACGTGTGAAGAAGGGAAAAACCTGAGGGATATTTTGGCTTTATAGCAACTCACTCTCACAGAAACTAATTAATTTGCCTGAGAACAAATCCAATCACTCATTACCTCCTGGGAGAATGGCAGCAAGCCATTCATGAGGGACCTGCTCCCATCACCCAAACACTCCCACTAGGTCCCACCTCACAACACTGCTACCTTGAAGATTAAATTTGAGTTTTAGTGGGGACAAACAAACCATATTTAAACCATGGCAGTACCCTACATCCCTGGACCTGGGAAGAGAGGAGTGAAGTTGGCTGACAGCCCCCAGTCATAACTTGAGGATCCAGTGCAGGATTTGCATTGTTGCCACACTCTTTTCCTGCTAATTCCCAGCCAAGGATGGAGCACAAGGAGAACTAGGGTTGTACCATATCTGCCCATGGTGGGACTCTTTTAAGAGGACATCTTTGTTTTGGGACACCCAATAGCCCTGCTGTGACTTTCCCAGAGCTGCACCACATCCCAGACTCTTCTTACTGAGACCCCCTTCCTTCCCACTCTCCCTTCAAAGCTGTCAGATCTGTATGTGGTCTAAGACCTTCGCATCTTTGCATCTATTCCTACTCTCACTTCCCTTTATCCTCCTTAGACACTTACCCCAATAAGAGTCCTGGGCTTCTTTTGGCAACTGCTTCCTAGAGAAGCCTAAGTAAGACAGTGTTATAATGCAAATATTGTGATTTTTGAAGGAAGGTTTAATGACATAAAATAATGGGTATATAGGAGGTTGACCCTATGTGGGTCCATTTTCTCATGAGCTTATTTTTCCTTGTACCTTAAAGCCATACGTGACAGTTAAAAATGACATAGGACTTGGAGTCCTCCAGTCTTCATTTCAAATTCTGTCTTTTCACATTTTAGTGTGAAATATTCACAATATTCGGCAGTAACTCATCCTTATTGAGTCTCAGTTTTCTTATGATAGGAAATGGGTAGCATCTGCTTTCCAAAGCAGTTCTGAGTGATTGAGGGAGAAGGTCTGTATTAACATGGAGAGTCGTAAGTTATTGTTGGCCGAGTACAGTGGCTCATGCCTGTAATTCCAGAACTTTGGGAGGCCACAAGCAGATCACTTGAGGTCAGGAGTTCAAGACCAGCCTGGCCAACATGGCAAAACCCTGCCTCTACTAAAAAAAAATACAAAAATTAGCCTGGCATGGTGGTGTGTGCCTATAGCCCCAGCTACTCGGGAGGCTGAAGCAGGAGGATCACTTGAACCCAGGAGGCGGAGGTTGCAGTGAGCAGAGATTGTTCCACTGCACTCCAGCCTGGGTGACAGAGTGAGACTCCCTCTGAAGAAAAAAAAAAAAAAAGTTACTGTTGATCATGCTTCTGAGTTCCTTTATTCCTGTATGTCCCTTTGTCTTACCTCATCTCCTCTTTGTGCCACTTTCCTTTTTACTTAAAGGTCACATGGATACTCATTCACAGCCAGAAGAACATGGGCTTTGAGTAAGGGGTTGGGTTTGCACTAATATGTGCATCGTCTTACTATCCAAACTCTGTCTAGTTGTAAAATTTGCTCATGAGTTAGATTGGATTTGAAGTCTGGGCAGGGTTTCCTCAAACAGAACAAATGAGGTTCATTCAATATAACTGAATCGTGCACCTCTGTTGTGCCAAACTGGGGACTGGGGAAACTGACATGAAGGGGAAATGGTTCAGCCTTCCAGCAGATCATGGTCAAAGGGAAGAGCTTGATTATTGCCATTTGTATCTATCTCCTGTCTGTCCTTCACACCTGCCTGGTGCCTTTGCACTTGCTATTCCCTCTGCCTGGGATAATCTTTATGATTGAATTATTATTATTATTGAATAGTTGATTCCTTCTTCCTTCCTGTCTCAGTTCACAGGTCACCTCCTAGACAGACCTTCCCTGATTGCCACATCCCAGATAATCTTTGTCAGAATGCACCACTTGTTTTCTTCATAGCACGTATTATACCTTGGAATGAGCTTGTGTTTATTTATTTATAGTTTTGCTTCCTGGTGGTCTCCTACCTTCTAAATCCCCAGAAAGAATATAAAGAGAGCACTTTATATTCTTCTTCACTTTAGTATATATTCTTCTTCACTTTAGTATATATTCTTGGGGCCTAAAACAGTGTACTGTCTCAATCGGTATTTACCATTCAATTTATTAAAGAATCACTATTGCAAAATACATTAGCTCATGAATATAGCCAGGCTTTATTTTTTTCCGACATGAAAATATATCTACATGTTTCCCATTAAATGGAATGAACTGGACTTGACAGGGGGCAACTAATATAGCTTAATTTTTTCTACCACTGGTCTCCAAGCCTTCTCTGCAGGCTAATTCTTATTGTAACCCTGCAGGAAACTCTCATGCAGGTACCATAGCCCTTTGAGTTCTTTTTGTTCTCAAGAATAATTTTATTTTGCTAAGTAAACTATCCAATCCAATCTAGTGTCTTAAGTAGAACCATAAGAAATTGCCAGTATTTCTGATATTTTTGATCTATGTAAATGACGGCTTTACATGGTTCAAACTAATAATGCGGTACAAAACCAAACACAATTCAAATTTAAGCACATTCCCCTCCCTCAGCTTGGAAGCTGTCCCTCAATGGAGATGAAAGGTGTGGTTGGCTCCTTATCTCTCTCTTGGTCACCTTCTACCCACTGGGAACCTGCTTCTTGTTTCTTCTTTAGGGTCAGCCCAAATGAAGAGGGCATCAGAGTAGAAGGGGTTTTTTTCTTTCTTTTTCTTTCTTTCTTTTTTTTTTTTTTTTTGTGATGGAGTTTCACCCTTGTTGCCCAGGCTGTAGTGCAATGGTGTCATCTCAGATCACTGCAACCTCTGCCTCCCAGATTCAAGTGATTCTCCTGCCTCAGCTTCCCGAGTAGCTGAGATTACAGGTGCATGCCACCACAGTTGGCTAATTTTGTATTTTTAGTAGAAACAGGGTTGCTTCATGTTGGTCAGGCTGGTCTTGAAATCCCGATCTCAGGTGATCCGCAAGAAGGGCATCTTTTTATGTGGCTGGCGCTGTTGGAAGTTGGTGTTGGGGTGACTTCTATTTTGGACCATTTTTGTGTGTTTTTCTTGGGAGTTTCCAGCAGGGAAATTCCCTTTCTGATATCAGTGCATTCTCTGAGGGATGGCCTTTTGTTTCCCCATCAGCCACTGGGCCTCTGGTGGTCTGTCCTCTGATTGTGTGCCTCCGGGCATCCTCAAGCACAGAAACTTCCAAGATGCTTCAGGCAAGCTCTCTTAGTTGTAGCTGATATCTGGGCTAAGAAAATACACACCTCTGATCCATCAACAGTGAAAGGATGGCTTCTACCCAGCAGAAGTTATAGTTCATTGATAGCCTCTCACACCAGTCCTAATGATCCCTCAGCCCACTGGGACACAGGACAAATTCCCTGTGTGGCCCCATTAACCCTCTCTTATCTAATTTAATATTAAGTGGTGAGCCCCTTCTCTCCACCTTGAGAGGAAAGGAGAGAAGAGACCCTACAGCACTCTCACAACTCTCTCCAAAGGACTTTGGAGAGTTCTCTCCCCAAATACTTCCAATTCAGTATTTTTATAGGCTGGATATAAGTGATTTTGCTGGTAGAACCACTTTTATTGTTTCCTTCCTATTCAGTCCTGAATAGGGGCTCTGTGACTTCTTTTTAGGATGTGAGGATACCCATCATCTATTATAATATTTTAGGACTTTGGGGCCTCTGTTGAAATTCTGAGATGACAGGAAGAGCTACCTTTGGTGTCAGTTTCACTTATTTACAATTGTTTATCAAGTCTTCCCAGGCATTTCATTTTGTAACTGACAGCATCTGAGTACAAGCTTCAAAGTACAGCTGCTTCTGAGCCTATTAGATGGAAATTCGGGAGGCAACTTAGCTGTCTGTTAGGAGGTTTTAATCAGCTTGGCCTTTGAAAAAGATGGATTACAAGAGCATGTGATCACTGCTGTGAGGGAGATCTTCAAAGTCAGTTTTCTGCTAGGAAAAGTTGCTAAAAAATACACTGACAAACTGACCAGCCACTCACAGTACTGGGTCATTTAAACGTGGCAGTTGTTGACAGAGTCTGACAAAGATCAAATCTCATATCTATTTTTTTTATGATGCTGCACAAAGAGTCTGACATCCAGATGCCGTGAGGAACCATGAAAGGCATTGGATAGAGTTCTAGGGTCTCTGTCTTTTCCAATAGCAGATACACAACTATAGGTTGGTGCAAAAGTAATTGCAAATTTTGCCATTACTTTCAGTGGCAAAAACTGCAATTACTTTTGGACCAACCTAATGGTATGGTACCTTAAAACACAAGCTTTGGGGTCAAATAGGCCCAGATTTGAATCCCTGCTTCTTCTCTTATTAACTGGGTGTCATTGGTCAGATTTTACTTATCTGAAAACCCTAATTGATAGACCTTATTTAAACATTAAACAAGGTAAGTTACATAGTGCTGTGCCTTGGACATAGTAAATACTTGATAAGTATTAACTACTATTAACAAAATAGTTATTACCAATAAAGTAATTATGAACCCAGAAATCAAACTGCCTGGGCTTGAAACCTTGGCTCTGCTACCTACCAGCAATGTAGCCTCGTCCATTAAATATGTATATTAATAAAACCTGTCCCGTAGGGTTTTAGAAAGTAACCCAGAGTTAATAAATATAAAATAGAATAACACCTAGAACATAGAAGGCTGTTAGCAATTGTTAGCTGTTACTATCCCTAAGGCCCTCTTTTCCCCCAGGAATTCCATAGATTGGAAACTGATCTATCCAACTGCGTAAGGAATGCCTAATTTATTCCTTCCCCCCACCCAACCCAACTCTTTTATTAAGATAGATCAAAGACATTCATTGGTACAGATTTGGATGTCTGATTATTAGGGAGGAACCTAGAAGTGCTATCAGTCAAAAAGCAAAGACTGGCCGGGCGCGGTGGCTCATGCCTGTAATCCCAGCACTTTGGGAGGCCAAGGTGGGCGGATCACAAGGTCATGAGATGGAGACCATCCTGGCTAACACGGTGAAACCCTGTCTCTACTAAAAATGCAAAAAAATAGCCGGGCATGGTGACGGGGGCCTGTAGTCTCAGCTACTCAGGAGGCTGAGGCAGGAGAATGGCGTGAACCTGGGGGGTGGAGCTTGCAGTGAGCCCAGGAGATTGTGCCACTGCACTCCAGCCTGGGCAATAGAGCAAGACTCCGTCTCAAAAAAAAAAAGGCATTTTTGTTAGCTAATGAAACATTATCCCTCAAATTTTCTTTTAAAAAATTTTGAAACAACTCCAAAGTTACTAAATAAATTGCAAACACAGTACCGAATTTTTTTTTCCTAAACCATTTGGGAATAAGTTGCCAACCTGATGTCCTATTACCCCAGAATACTTAGTATTTCCTTGAAACAATGACATTCTCCTACATAATCACAACACATCCCTTGAATTGGAAAGTTAACATTTACATATCATCACCATCCACTCCACAGATGCATTCAAGTTTCTATAATTGTCCCAATAATTTCCCTCATAGCTAAAGGATTCAGTTACAAATCATGCATTGCACCTAGTTTTATGTAATCTTTGTCTTCTTTAGTCTAGAACATACTCAGTCTGTCTTTGACTTCCTGACATTGGCACTTCTGAAAACTGTGGGTCAGTTACTTTGCAAAATGTCTCTCAGTTTGCTTTTATCTTATATTTCCTTATGATTAGATTTATATTATGCATCCTTGACAGAAATGTAGAAGTAATGCTCTTTTTGTTACTACATCCCACCAAGTGGTGAATGATTCCATTTCTTTACTTTTTTAAAAGGATTCTTTTTATTTTTTTGAGACGAAGTCTTGCTCTGTCACCCAGGCTGGAGTGCAATGGCACAATCTCAGCTCACTGCAACCTCCGCCTCCTGGGTTTAAGCAATTCTCCTCTCTCAGCCTCCCGAGTCGCTGGGATTACAGGTATGCACCACCATGTCGGGCTAATTTTTTGTATTTTTAGTAGGGATGGGGTTTCACCATATTGTCCAGGCTGGTCGTGAATTCCTGACCTCAGGTGAGCCACCTGCCTCAGCCTCCCAAAGTGCTGGGATTACAGGCGTGCCACCGCACCCAGCCGCATTTCTTTACTTTAATCTCTTGATCAAGGTGGTGTCTTCCAGGCTTCTCCAATGTAAAGTCACCCTTCTTCCTTGGGTAACTAAGTATTGTATGGCAAAGTACTTTGACACTACGTAAATATGCCATTGGCATCATATTTTCAAATTATTCTTATCTATATGGATTTGTGGTTTTCTATTTCATTCTATAATAATAAAGTTATACAATAAAATAATAAAGTTATGATCTGTCACTATCTTATTTTGATACTCAGGTTTTCCCTGATTGGGTCAGCAGGGCTCCATTCTAACTGGCTTTAGTTCCCCTTTAACAAGCCCGCATTATTTCTCTCTGTCACAAGATAACCCAGGCTCATCTTACACTTTCCCTGCCCCTATCCCTGAAATCATTCACTTCCCAAGGAGCTCTGGTTTCTTCTACTGGAAGATGGTATTAGGAAACCAAAATATGAGCTCTACGTATGTTCATTGCTATTGGGACGCCACTAGTCCCAGATCTTCTCAGTGGACAGAGCCAGGGAATGCATGTATTCAGAGTCATACATTTACATCTATTGTCAACTAATAAGAAATAAACACTGCAGAGCAGGAAACAGAAGAAAAAGTGTTTTGATGGCAGGGGGGTCTTAGGAATTGCAATTCAGGAGACACAGGTCTAGCAGGCAGCTAAACTGTGTTTTGTCTAGGCAAGGTTACAAAGTTATAAAGTGCTACTGTGCGATTACACATCTGGAAGGTTTTAGTGCAGCCCATGATTGATGATGGCTGGTTAACAACTTAGGATGTTTCTGATGATCAATCTAGTTCGGCGTAGCTCTCTTCAGGAGGTTGGTGATCAGGTCCAGTATGAATAGTTAAAATCAAATGCAGCTGGTTTTACAAGTTGGCCCAGTTCAACGGGTCAAAATCCATCTGGGAATGTACGTGGCTGGGGTTCAGTTCTTACACCCTCCCAGTTCCTTTTTAGATACTTCTGATATGATCTGTTCCATTTTGGATTTTATTTTCACACCATTTATCTATATTAAAAACCGTGAGTTCACTCCAACTGTAGTACAAAACTATGGTTTTCATTCTTGCTTTCTGCCTTTCCATATTTGTCTCTCCCACCATCAGTGGTTCCCACTATCCCTACATTATTTACTAATTAGATCAATCCCCTGATATGGAACCAATCTCCTGCTTCTGTTGCCACCAACTCCCCTGGACCAATGACTGCTTCGTTCCATCACTCATGTGGGGACACTACACCATGTAGATACCCCTTCACCCTGCTAGTTGGACATCCCTGCATTGGGCTGCCCCCATACTTTGGTATCTTTTGAGGCACCCCCTTCCAGGCCACACCTCCTCCCTTTTCTCCTGCCCTGACTCTCCACTATAAGCCGATTCCTCCCCAGGATGCCCCTGCCCTTCTTAGGCCTCCACACCCTCCATAGATTGTCCTTCATGAACATGCTCTTCTTCTTCCTGCTCAGGCTCCGGCTGTCCATGCTTGGCAAGCTCCCTACCACCCACATAGACATAAATCCCCCCACTGGTGCTCTGAGACCTCTTTGTATGAATGACTCCACACCCACTTGGGATGACTCTCCCCTGACGTAACAACTTCCCCACATGCTTCAGACCCTGACATTTCACACATTCCTCTTCATGGAAGCCCCCTCCCCCCTAGCCCTGGAAAGACTTAGGACCCTGCTCCAGGCAGCCTTCACCTGTGGCCCCTGCTACGCTGCATGTGTTTGATCCTGGACTCAAGGTTACCGTAGCTTCCTCCTCCATAGGTGCAGATGCCTACCCTTTCTGCACCACCTAATAGACTTAGGACTGAATTATTTAGCAAAAAAAGAGAAAGAAAAGAGAGTGGGGTGTAAAGAAAAGAAGATGATGAAGAATGGAAAAAAACATAGGGGGAAAAGATTTATCTTTAACAGCCAAACTCAGTGTTCTCACAAATATGTGCATAAATTAATTAAAAAGCTAGATCCTCTAATACCTTGTGGAAGTATCAGTTGAAAGAAAATCATAGTTTTTAAAACTGAGTTATTTCAAAATATATTCATGCAGACAATGTTTTTAAATATGCAAAATTCACCTAAGCCTATTGCTTACATTGCAGAGGTGCTTTAAGGATCAAAGGAGATATTAAATATGAAGTTACTCTTCGAACTTTAAAGTGCTATCTAAAGGGAGAGAATAAAATGCTCAAGATGGCACTTCCATTTTTCATGCACACAGGAGTTTCATATTTCAATAGCTGCCATTATTGATCTCTAGGAAAAGGAGTTCAAGGCTCCAATTCACCCCTTTTACTATTCCTATCATTCATCCTCCCCCAAAAGGTAGCAGAATCAAGATCAGATCATTCCACCAAAAAGGAGGAGGAGTTGGAAGGAGGAGGCTGACCTGGTTAGCCTGATTTCAGGCTGTTTTATAAGGACCATGATCCCAATGGGTAGAGCTGTCAAGGGCATAAAAACATGGTACCCATGACCTCTTGTCTTTCTTCCTTCTACAAGTCAATAATGGTACAGCCTCACGTATCTCTTTGTTTTCTTTTCGGTTGCTCTTTTTTCTCCCAAGGGACAGCCTGGCCCATAGATGTTGCCTTAGACTAAGCAAGTCTCTAGGCAGACTACACAAGCTTGGCCCTCAGCAATGGGGTGATATTCTTCTTCATTGAAGAATGGGAAGAAATAGGCATGACAGACCTTTAGCTTAATTGATTCAAGGCTATTTTAAGAGATAGCAAGTATAGTAAAAAAGATGTCCTGCACGTAGCTCTGTTTCTTATTATTAGAAGTTGGTTATTAGTTCAAATCTAATATAAGTTCCCTGCCTTGTTCTTCTTTCTTTGTGTATATAATTCTTCTTAGATCTATAAGATGGAGGTGTGGCTGGTCCAAGCTAGGGTTTCAGTACTCTTGGGTTCCCTTCATTTACTCAAACTATTTGTCAAGCTCCTATGTGCCAGGCACTTACTAAAGATACTGATACATAGTGGTGAGCATGAGATATGGTTCTCCTCTGAAACATAGAGTTGAATGAATAAGATAGGCTTTGAACAGGAAAACCATGTGTATAATTACAAATTACATCACTTGAAGATATGGCATTTGAACTAAGTAGAAATTATTCTAATAAGAGTTCAAAGAAGCCTGTATACAAGCATGTGCAAAGGCCCTGGGGCAAGAAATAATTTGACAAGTTCAGGGGACTAAAAGGAGATGACAGTGGTTAGAGAACAGTAGTCAAGCAGTATTAAAAGGGTGAAACAAGGCTGGAGAGAGAGGCAGCTGTCAGATGATGCAAGTCTTGTTGGCTGGTAAGATCTTTCGGCTTTATCCTGAGTGCATGAGAACCATGGAAACATTTTAAGCCAAAGCATAGCATAATTATTTTAAAATATTCTTGCTTTTTTGTAGAAAATGAGTTGAAAGAGGCAGTATTAAAAGGCAGTAGGCCATTAATGAGCTATTGCAATCATCTAGGTGTGAAATGATGACAGCCTGTACTGAGAATGCAGCAGAAATTCTCCTATACTTCATCTTCAGCAGTCCCAGGCCAGGCTGAAGGTGGCAGGTGCTCAAGAAGTTCAAAGTCATGACTTCAAGCTCATGATTAATCTCCTAACTTTTGGTCAAACCAGCCATAGTAAAATACGATTTTTCCCCTCATCTGAGAATGAAACCCATTATTCTTCGCAAAAGTTGGGAATATACACTGTTTCATCATTCTACATATTATCGAGGGCAACTGAGATGTGTGGCCCCCGGTTAGCCATACCTCTTGGTATTCATGCCTTTGTGTCATCCCCTCCCACTGATTGTGAGCTGGACTTAGAAATTCTCTTCTGATGAATAGAATGCAGGAGATGGATTAGATGTCACTTCAGATATCAGATCTCATAAAGATTGTGGCTTGCTCACTTGAAGGGAAGCAAGTTACCCTGTTGTGAGCTGCTCTATGAAAAGGCCATGTGGCTCAGAACTAATATCCAGCCAGGAGCCAGGGAGGACCTGAAGCCCACCAGCAGCCACATGAGCGAAAATGGAAACAGATTCTCTCCCCAGTCAAGTCTTGCTATGACTGCTGTCCTGACTGACACTTTGATAGTAGCCTTGAGAGAGACCCTGAACAAGAGGCACCCAACAAAACCATGCCTAGAGTTTCCCAGGAACTGTGGAATAATAAATGTGTGTTGCTTTGACCTGATGAGTTTTAGGGCAATTTGTTGCACAGCAATAAATACCAAATGCTGCAACATTCTGGAATGCCTCGTGTATTTGTGCACTGTCTCTAAAGGCAGTCTTGGGGTTTGTCCCCTCGTCTTCCATAGCTGCATGAGAGGTTCCATTCCTATCCGGAAGAGTCACCAGCCACAGAGGCAAAACCTTCCTGGAGGTTTTGGTTATATATCTATAAGGACCCTAGAGACCAATGTTCAGCCTCTGAGATGAGTGAATGGAGGTTCAGAGAGGAATCTTTGATCTTTCAGCTCACCAGTTTTAGAGTAGGGATAGTATTTTTTGTTTTCTAACTTCCAGATTGATTTATCACCTTAGTCTTATAGCTTTTAGGGCAATGAGCCAGAATCTCTGATCAGAAACTTCTAGATGACATTCAGAATTGTGGCACTGTATTCTTTTTCTATTGCTCCTGTAATAAATACCACCAACGTATTGGCTTAAACAACACATTCAGTTTTGGAGATCAGAAGTCTGAAATGAATCTCACTGGATAAAATCTAGATATTGGCAGGGCTGAATTTCTTTCTGGAGGCCCTAGGGGAGAATCTATTTCTGGCTTGCTTTCTTTTCTTTTTTTTTTTTTTTTATCTCCTGAGACAGAGTCTCACTGTGTCAACCAGGCTGGAGTGCAGTGGCATGATCTTGGCTCACTGCAACCTTCACCTCCTGGGTTCAAGTAATTCTCCTGCCTCAGCCTCCCAAGTAGCTTGGATTACAGGTGCCTGCCACCATACCTGGCTAATTTTTTTATTTTTAGTAGAGACCGAGTTTCACTGTGTTGGCCAGGCTGGTCTTGAACTCCTGACCTCATGATCTGCCTTCGTCGGCCTCCGAAAGTGCTGGGATTACAGGCATGAGCCACCGTGCTCGGCCCATTTCTAGTTTTTTAAGGCTGTCTGCATTTCTTGGCTCTTGGCCCCTTCCTCATCTTCAAAGCAGCAATGGCTGGTTGAATCTTTTCTACATCAGAAGAAAGACTCTGACAGTGTCTTTGTCAGTCTTTTTTTTCCCCCTTCTCTCTCTGTCCTTTAGGAGCTGTTTTGATTGCATTGTACCCACCTGGGTAATTTAGGATAACTAATCCATTTCAAAGTCAGCTGATCACAAATGTTAATTCCATTTGCAACCTTAATTCTGCCCTCTGCATAAGGTAATGCATTAACAGATTCATGGTATTAGGATGTGTGTCTTTGGCAAGGGACATGGGGGAATTATTTTGCCCACACAGGAACTTGCCTCTACCTCTCATCTTGTTGCTTGCTGAAGAAATGTTGTAGTAACATCATTATATTTACCAGGAAAACATACTCTTTCCTCTCTTTTTGCTTTAGAGTAACATCTTCAGTGTGCTTGCTCACGGCCCGTTACCTTGTGAACAAGCTGTTGACCAAGTGTGTAACAAAGCTTCCACCAGAGGGGTTTCCAACCT